>NC_000012.12:27084650-27237345 GCF_000001405.40 Homo sapiens
GAAGAAATAGGCAGAGTTAGAGTTGGAAAGAAGCAGCTTCTACTACCCAACAGAGGCAGCCTGGCAGGTGCCCACAGACTGCTCACAACTCCCCTGAGTGATTGTGGACCTGGATTAATCCTGGAAGGTGTTTAAGTCAGAAGCCACATGTTCCCTGGCATTTATTTATTTATTTGAGATGGTGTCTCACTTTGTCACCCAGGCCAGAGTGTAGTGTCATGGTCTGAGCTCACTGCAACCTCCACCTCCCGGGTTCAAGCGATTATCCTGCCTCAGCCTCCTGAGTAGCTGGGGATTACAGGCATGGACCACCATGCCTGGCTAATTTTTTGTGTTTTTAGTAGAGACGAGATTTCTCCATGTTGGCCAGGCTGGTCTCAAACTCCTGACCTCAAGTGATCCGCCCTCCTTGGCCTCCCAAAGTACTGGTATTACAGGCGTGAGCCACCCACCATGCCCGGCCCCCTAGCATTTATTTTATTTTATTATTATTTTTTATTTTTAGAGATGGGGTCTCACTCTTTTGCCCAGGCTAGAGTACAATGATGGCATCATAGCTCACTGCAGCCTCAAACTCCTGGCCTCAAGCAAACTTCCTCAGCCTCCCAGGTAGCTAAGATTACAGGTGTATACCACTATGCCTGGCTAATTTTCCCTAGCAATTATTTAACACTTATTATATGCCAGGTCTTGTACTATAAGCACTTTACGTGTGTCATTTTTCAATCCTCACAGCAACTCAATCAGTTAAGTATCATCATATGCCCCATTCAATAGAAGGAAGAACCAAGGCATGAACGGTTATATAACTCTCTCTTTTCCCCAGTCATAAACCCAAGAACCTGGATTCAAACATAGGTAGTCTGGCTTCAGAGCCCATATCCTAACCTCTACACACTCTTGTCTCAGGAGGCTGACCACCCATCTCCTCCCGGGAAGATTCCTGGAGGAGTTGCTCCAGGCCAAAATAAACCCATGTTCTGGTTCCTTGGAAGAAAATCCTGTGAGGGGAACAGCTTGTTCTAAGAGACTTGCAAGAGGTACATATGGTATACAGGACTGGCCTAGCAATGGTGTCCACATTTGGAGCAGGCTAAAATGAGATTTAAAATAAGTATTCAGCTTCCTCTTTGGCATAATGGGATCTGGAGTCCTTGCTCTGGCTTTTCATAAAAACTCAGTGACTGCCTTCCAGAACTCTGAGCACCTAGAAAAGAATTTATAAGTAGCTTCCTCTCCATGCAGCTAGAGTGGAGGTAGGGGGGTGGGTGGGCAGGGAACTATGTTTTGTCATTACTCACGGAAATGGAGCACTTTGAACTGAATATAAACATTTAAAGAAGAAATGATTTCCCAACCTATACCAGAAAAGTTTAGAGTGATCTTGAGGATAGAAGAGCTTCAAAGGGGGGCAACCTCAGAGAAAACTTGAAATTTTACTTATTTATACCATTTCTCTACAATATATTTGTAGAGATATTGTATTAGTCTGTTCTCACACTGCTAATAAAGTCATACCGAAGACTGAGTTGTTTATAAGGAAAAAGAGATTTAATGGACTCACAGTTCCATGTGGCTGGAGAGGCCTCACAATCATGGCAGAAGGCAAAGGAGGAGCAAAGTCATGTCTTACATGGCAGCAGTCAAGAGAGAGAGCATGTACAGGGGAGCTCCCTTTTATAAAACTATCAGATCTCATGAGACTTATTCACTATCATGAGAACAGCACAGGAAAGACCCACCCCCATGTTTCAATTACCTCCCACCAGCTCTCTCCCAAAACACTTGGGAATTATGGGAGCTACAATTTGAGATTTGGGTGGGGACACAACAAAACCGTATCAGATATATTCTCTACAATCTGTGTGTGTGTGTGTGTACACAACTTTTAATACATACAACTCAGGTCGTCAAAGTGCTTGAAACACTTTTTTGCCATGATTAATCTCTTTTTTGCCAGAGAAAAATATATAATCATTTAGGTTTTTCTTTCTAAAGCATCATAGAAATAGCAATGACACACATCATTCTTAGGATGGTATGCTGAGGAATGTAGTCAATTCTAAATGATAACTTTGCTTTCACTTCCAAAAGAAGATCAGGGGATTTGGGAGTCCTCATTAACAATACAGCTCATGTTAATTTCTTTCTTAGGGCCTTTATTTGACTTGCAGGTCTAGCTTCTCTTGGATTACAATTATTACATTATCTAAGTAGTATAAACTGCCTTTTCTCTTGAAGCAAGATCAACTATAATAAAGATTCTTGAAGTTTTAGAAATGATAGTATGTTGTGGATTTATAATGTTTTAGGCCTGAAGCCAATAATAACTAAGAATTGGAACACTTCCTAAGATCCATTTGACTTTATGGGATTTGGAACCTAAATATGCAGAGTAGGAAGTTTCTAATTTAGAAGTTAAGCTGTTGTGATGCATAATTTTATGTGTCAACTTGGCTAGGCCACGTGGTGCTTAAGTATTTGTTCAACATTATTCTGGAGGTGTCCATGAGGGTATTTCTGTATGGACTAGTATTTGAATCAGTAGACCCAGGAAAGCAGATTGCTCTCCCCAGTGTGGGTGGACATCATCCTATCCACTGAGGCCTGAGTAAAACAAAACACTGAGTAAAGGAGATTTTGCACAGTCCTTCCCTGCCCCTGGAATCAGACTGGCACTTACATTATCAGCCCTCCTGCTTCTCAAGCCTTCAGACTCAGACTGGAATTATACCATTAGCTTTTCTGGGTCTCCAGCTTGCAGTTGGCAGATCTTGGGACTTCTCAGCCTACATAATTGCATGAGCGAATTCCTTAAAATCTCCCTCCTTTCTATTTCTTTCTCTTTCCCTCCCTCCCTCCCTCCCTTCCTTCCTTTTTCTTTCTTCCTTCTCCTTCCTTCCTTTCATCCATCCATTCATCTCCTATTGGTTTTGTATCTCTACAGAACCCAGAGTAATACAGCTATTTATTTATTTTTTATTGAAATTATGAAATATTTTAAGCATACAAAAAAGAGACATCCTGAACCTGTGATGGAAGGCACTAACAGCAGAGCATCGTTTCCTTGGTATTCTTGCCAACAATGTGTAATCTCAACCTAATCATGAGAAAATATCTAACAAACGCCAATCGTGGGACATTTGGCAAAGTAACTGACAAGTGTCAAGTCAAGAAAGGCAAGGAAAGACTGAGGTACTGTCACAGACTGCAAGAGACTAAGGAGAACTAACCACTAAATGCAATGTGTGATTCTAGATAGGATTGTAGAATAAAAAAAGGACACTAGTGGAAAAATAGGAAATTCCAACCCATCTTTGTTTTAGTTAATCATGCTGTATCCGAGTTAATATCCTGGTGTGATCATTGTACTATGGTTGTGTAAGATGTTAACATTAGGGGTGTAAGCTGAGAGGTATATGGATACTCTGTAATATGTTTGCAACTTCTCTGCAAGTCTAAAATTAGGTCACAATAAAAAGTTAAAAGAAGGGCGGGGCATGGTGACTCACGCCTGTAATCCCAGCACTTTGGGAGACTGACGTGGGTGGATCACCTGAGGTCAGGAGTTCAAGATCAGCCTGGCCAACATGGTGAAACCCCTTCTCTACTAAAAATACAGAAAATTAGCCAGACATGGTGGGAGATGCCTGTAATCCCAGCTACTCAGGAGGCTGAGGCAGGAGAATCATTTGAACCCAGGAGGTGGAGGTTGTAGTGAGCCGAGATCACACCACTGCACTCCAGCCTGGGCAACAAGAGTGAAACTCCATCTCAAAAAAAAAAAAAAGATTGAAAGAAGAATACATTAACATACAGAAAATGACATGACAAATGCCTATGTACTTAAATCTCAGGTCAAGTCTTAGCATTTTGCCATATTTAATTCATTATATCTTTAAAAAGAAAACATAGATAAAACTTAAGCCCCCTTTTATTTCTTTCCTGAACCCCTTCTTTCCTGGCTTCCCTCATGAGCACTCTTCTGAATTTGATGTTAATCTCGTGCATGTTTAAATGCTGTTTTACATATTAGTGTATTCTTTTACCTTTGAGGACAAAAACTTATGTAAATTTGAAATAATACTTAGTATTACATACTAAGTATATACTTAGTATGTAATACTACTGAACTGTACACTTAGAAATGATTAAAATGGTTTTTTTCTTTTTCTCTTATTAAAGTTATTTTAAATTGACATTTATATGTTTATGGGGTACAATGTGATATTTGGATACATATATATTGTGTAATGGTCATATCAAGCTAATTAGCATAGCCATCATTTGAAATATTTATCTTTTCTGTGGTGAGAACATTTAAAATCCTCTCTTTTAGCTATTTTTAAGTATACAGTATATTATTATTAACTGTCATCACCTTGCTATGCAGTAGAACACCAGACTTATTCCTCTTGTCTAACTGAAACTTTGTACCTGTTGACAAACATCTTCCCTTTCCCTCTTTACTCCCCAAAATGGTAAATTTTATATGTATTTTACCAGTAAATAAAATTAGGAGGAAAAAAGAACCAACATAAAAATGGGCTTCAAGTGATGCTCCTCAGAAAGAAGGAAGTTGCCTTATTTCAATTGCTTATTTTGTTTTGTAAGAATTATTGTGGCAAGGACTTCCTTCTTCCAAACCAAATTCTTAGCTGAAATATTTATAACGTTTATTTTCAGGGGCAGGGAGAGGATGGGTATGATTTCCTATGCTCTGTTTGCATGTTCATTCCCAAACAGATACAACCTTATCAAGGCTCGTGCACTTAATTAAAGTGGGGGGCAGGTGGTGAAAATAGTGTTTTGGTGTACACAAGGTTAAACTGCATCATACCGCTGCCAAAGGCTACACACTCTGCTTGGTGCTTTCCCATGGCTGGTAATTTAATTTTATGACAGTCTCCGAGTTGTGTATTTTCATTCTAATACTAAGTTGTGCAATTCAGAGGACCTAGATTCGCCTCCAGAGTCCAGGACTCCCTGCAGCCATGCTGCCTCTTTTGAGAACTGACCTCAGCTGAGTTGTTTATGCATCATGAGTTGCCATAGTCCACAGTGCTAATAGAGGGGAACTACAGGTTCCCTCTCCCACAATTTTACCATCTAGCATGGCCATGAACACAACTTACAGATTGAATTCTGCCACACATATAAACATTTAATGGCCAGCAGGCACAAAAACATCACACAACCTTGTTCTGTAAGCTCCCAAACTGCTGTGCAACAGGATGGCCAGTAGCTACATGCGGCTACTAAAATTTAAATGGAATTAAACAAAAATTGATTCTTCAGTCACATTAGCCACATTTCAAGTGGTTAGTGACCACCTGAACTAGTGGCTACCTTATTAGTCAGGCGAACAAAATATTTATGTCATCTTAGAAAGTCCTGTTGGACAGAGCTGCTCTAGACAGTCCCTGTGCTCTCTCCTTTGGTTGGATCTGGAGAACATTGAACAAAAAGTTTCATTAGAAGCAGATGGGACAATATTCTAGCATCAGGATTGGGCTAACTTTCTTGACAGCATGAGGTGACTAAATTTCCTCCAAAGCATCTAGAGACAGGACTGGGGAGAGTCTTCAGCTGAGGACCCCATTTCCCCCTCCCCACCCAACTTTATTGAGGTATAATTGACACATAAAAATTGTATATATTTAAGGTGTACAGTGTGATGATTTCATGTATGCAGACACTGTGAAATGATTACCACAATCAAGTTTATTAACACATCCATCACCTCACTGTGTGTGAAATCTACTATTGTAGCAGATTTTAAGTATATAATAGAATATTAACTATGGTCACCATGCTGTACATCAGATCCCCAGAACTTCATGGTCTGAGGGCACCCTTTTGAAAGGTTTAGACAACTGGGCTAGATAGATTCTTATTTTCAGGTTATGCAAGAGTGGGGAAGTCTGTATAATACTTAGAGCCTGTTGTGAACACCATTTTATCAATGAAAAATCATTTGCAGCATTCAATATTCTAAGTAACAACCCTCTGGTAGTCATCAGAGATAAACATGGTTGACTTGGTTTTCTGTTTATGTGAGCTTTTGATCAGCCATTCAAATGCTAACTACCCCACGGTATAGGTTAAAAATAATTATCACCCTTATGTCACAAAAATACCCATGTTGAAGTATTTTGAGAAATTGCAGACAATATGACTGTCTGTGTATAGATGGCCTCATTTAGTTTTTGCAACAACCATTTCCAGTAGAAATTGCAGGTATTAATCTCATTTTTGTCTCTATTGAATTCTCCAGTATCCTGTGGCCAGGCTATTGCATGATGGAACCAGTTGCTAAAGAAATGCAAATTATTTGTACAGTTGCCAAGCAAATAAACATACAGCCTTTCTTATTGTATTTTATAATGTCAAGGCTCCTACATACTTTGGGCCAAGCCCGATAGTGCTTCATGCAACACCAAATACAGGCAACCTGCAGTCCTCTCCTAGCTCTCTATTGGAATATTTTCCGTATTTTTCAAATTTTTATTAATTCAGCAACTGTGTGCATGCCAGTTGAGTGCCTGTCAGGTTCCAGGCCCTGCATCCTGCCACTTCTAGCAGCAGCAGGTTCATTTTTAACCTAGCTTTGCTGCATCTGTAAAATAGAGATGATAATGTTCTCTTAATTTTCCTTAAGAGGGTATCAAGCACTAGTATCTTCAAATGTTGATAAGCTGTTACATATGTCATACCAATTCAGAATGTAATAACATATACACTGCATATTCAAATTTTCAGTCTTTCACAGCATAAGAAATTTATTAGGAAAATAGGACTGCCGCAACCATAGATGCTGCAGACTGCATGCCGTTCAGACAGGGAGAGCCATGACCAAGGAGCAGTATTTTTTACCACACAGTTCTACTGAAAACCAACATGAAAACAGAAGTAATCAAAAATGTTTGAGACATTAAATGCAGGACTGTGACTCCATATTGCCATTTACTGTACTTTGTGTTATAGGATATGAAAACTAATCTCCCATCTATAGAATGTTAAGCTGACACCCAAGACAGTCAAAGCCTGCCATAATTCAATATCTCACTATTTTCTGGTTGTACCAGAAAATAAACAATCTGCGAATAATTTCACCTGTTAAATAAAAGCGTTTATCCTTAAAAAATGTGATGAGGTAGGATAATGACTTTGACGAGTTAAGAGAAGAAGGCTTCAGATGATCAAACTTCTCCAAGCTAAAGGAGGAAGTTCGAAACCATGGTAAAGAAGTTAAAAACCTTGAAAAAAGATTAGACGAATGGCTAACTAGAATAACCAATGCAGAGAAGTCCTTAAAGGACCTGATGGAGCTGAAAACCATGGCATGAGAACTATGTGATGAATGCACAAGCCTCAGTAGCCTATTCGATTAACTGGAAGAAAGGTATCAGTGATGGAAGATCAAATGAATGAAATGAAGCGAGAAGAGAAGTTTAGAGAAAAAAGAATAAAAAGAAATGAACAAAGCCTCCAAGAAATATGGGACTATGTGAAAAGACCAAATCTACATCGGATTGGTGTACCTGAAAGTGATGGGGAGAATGGAGCCAAGTTGGAAAACACTCTGCAGGATATTATCCAGGAGAACTTCCCCAATCTAGCAAGGCAGGCCAACGTTCAAATTCAGGAAATACAGAGAATGCCACAAAGATACTCCTCGAGAAGAGCAACTCCAAGACACATAATTGTCAGATTCACCAAAGTTGAAATGAAGGAAAAAATGTTAAGGGCAGCCAGAGGGAAAGGTCGAGTTACCCACAAAGGGAAACCCATCAGACTAACAGCGGATCTCTCGGCAGAAACTCTACAAGCCAGAAGAGAGTGGGGGCCAATATTTAACATTCTTAAAGAAAGAATTTTCAACCCAGAATTTTATATCCAGCCAAACTAAGCTTCATAAGTGAAGGAGAAATAAAATCCTTTACAAACAAGCAAATGCTGAGAGATTTTTGTCACCACCAGGCCTGCCCTAAAACAGGTCCTGAAGGAAGCACTAAACGTGAAAAGGAACAACCGGTACCAGCCACTGCAAAAACATGCCAAATTGTAAAGACCATCGAGGCCAGGAAGAAACTGCATCAACTAACGAGCAAAATAACCAGCTAACATCATAATGACAGGATCAAATTCACACATAACAATATTAACCTTAAATGTAAATGGGCTAAGTACTCCAATTAAAAGACACAGACTGGCAAATTGGATAATGAGTCAAGACCCATCAGGGTGCTGTATTCAGGAAGCCCATCTCACATGCAGAGACACACATAGGCTCAAAATAAAGGGATGGAGGAAGATCTACCAAGCAAATGGAAAACAAAAATAGGCAGGGGTTGCAATCCTAGTCTCTGATAAAACAGACTTTAAACCAACAAAGATAAAAAGAGAAAAAGTAGGCCATTACATAATGGTAAATGGATCAATTCAACAAGAAGAGCTAACTATCCTAAATATATATGCACCCAATACAGGAGTACCCAGATTCATAAAGCAAGTCCTTAGAGACTTACAAAGAGACTTAGACTCCCACACAATAATAATGGGAGACTTTAACACCCCACTGTCAACATTAGACAGATCAAGGAGACAGAAAGTTAAAAAGGATATCCAGGAATTGAACTCAGCTCTGCACCAAGGGGACCTAATAGACATCTACAGAACTCTCCACCCCAAATCAACAGAACATACATTCTTCTCAGCACCACACCGTACTTATTCCAAAATTGACCATATAGTTGGAAGTAAAGCACTCCTCAGCAAATGTAAAAGAACAGAAATTATAACAAACTGTCTCTCAGACCACAGTGCAATCAAACTAGAACTCAGGATTAAGAAACTCACTCAAAACCGCTCAACTACGTGGAAACTGAACAACCTGCTCCTGAATGACTACTGGTTGCATAACGAAATGAAGGCAGAAATAAAGAGGTTCTTTGAAACCAACGAGAACAAAGATACCACATACCAGAATCTCTGGGACACATTCAAAGCAGTGTGTAGAGGGAAATTTATAGCACTAAATGCCCACAAGAGAAAGCAGGAAAGATCTAAAATTGACACCCTAACATCACAATTAAAAGAACTAGAGAAGCAAGAGCAAACACATTCAAAAGCTAGCAGAAGACTCTCTCCTTAAAAATATTCCTAGAACTACTAAAAAACTTGCATTTACAAAATAGTGGGTAAAAATATTCCTCTGGATTGTACAAGAAGGGAGTCAGGGACACTGATAAGACATAGTATGTGATATTACTCAGACTCTTGATGTCTTTATCTGTGGCTTCATCCGAGGCTGGACTCTCCTTGTTTTCAGTGTCTCCACTTTCTGCAGATAAATCTTTAGTTTCTTGATCAGGCACTTCAGCCTGTTTTTACCTTTTTCCTCTTTCATTTGCTTTTTTTTTTTTTTGTCTGAAGATTTATCCTTTCCTGCTGCCTTTTTGGGCTTTGTTTCGCTTTGTAGGAGCAGGTTTAGCTGACCACCTTGCAGATCTCTTCATGGGGTCTCCCTTCACCGACCCTTCAGCTGAGCTAACCTTCCTCTTGGACATCTTGGTGGCATGGAGGGTGTGGGCTGGGTGTCTGCAGGCTGTGGTGCACCGAGAGCCTTCCCAAAACTGGGCTGCCTGGTCACAGCTGCTGCTGTTCCCATCCGAGAACTGCGATCTTATATTCAGCATGCAGCCAAGTACTTCTAAAACTCTGATCAGAACTGCATGTCTCAGATTTTATTTTAGAAAACCATAGGTATGGAATATCATATTTTATTATGAAGGCCTTTTAATTTGCTGCTTTATAGAAGTCTCAACTCTAAAACTGTACTCATGGTCATCATCCAGTGTTCTTTAGAAATGGCATCCTCATCTGCCCATCTTTTCAGTACCACAGGCTGGCCTCATCCTGGACGTCATTCCTTCTCTCACACACTTTCATTCCTGCATACAGTCACTCAGAAAGTCCCGTCGGTCCCATATCCTAACATATGTTACATCTGTCTACTTCTGTTGCCTTCACTACCTCCACCTGGTCCAGTCTACCAACTCCCAACTGGCTCTTCCCACATCTTCTCGGGATCCCTTCTGGTTATTATTGTATAGGAGGCAGAGAGACTTTTTTTTTTAGAAACACAAATCATATTTAGGTACTTAAGACCTGTCAATGGCATCTGACTGTTTTTAAGATAATCTTTAAATTCTCAAAATGGTCCCATGGGCCCTGCATGACATGGCCTCACCCACATTTTCAGGCTCATTTGCAGCCATTTCCCCTTTTGTTCTCTACACTCCGGTCCCACTGACTGTTTCACTTCCTGAACTGAAGGTGTTTAAAGCCACTGCTCTTCACGGAGATAATCCTAGATGAATATCCCAGGGGTATCCATAGAGAAGAGGGTGAATGTGACACTTGCAGATGACATTTTAATTAAGATTAAAACTGACAAATGGCCCCAGTCTATTGCTTTTTGAAAACAAGGTCTTGGGAAAGAACCACTACTTGTCCTTGGAGAGCCTGGGCGAATTAGAAAATGGTGCCCCTCCAGGTGAATGCAGCCCCCAAGCTGCATGGATTGGATTTCAGCGTCTGTGCACCCAGGGTGAGACACTCTGTGAAGGACATGACCTGCACAGCCAGAATGGTGACCTCCTCTGGAGATCTCAGTCAGTTTGCTTCCAAATTAAAACAAGTTTGGAAGCAAATTTGGCTAGGATGACATTGTATATTTACCTTTCCAAGCCAGCATGGTTCTGTCTATGATGCTAGTTCTGTAGCTATTTTTCAGAGTTGAAGACCAGGTGTGATTTACAACCTAGAGTGTCTCTAGCTGCTGGCATCTAAGTTTGGCACTGAGCACTTAAAGTGCCCAGACCATGATGTTTTACTGTGTGGAGGAAGGCCTCGTTGGAGAGGCACAATGTTTTTTCATCTGACATGTTTGCTCTTGTGGAAATGGCTTGAAGTATTTGAGTGCTGGCAGCAGAAAACATGGGAGGAGACTTAATTCTTGCTGAGTATGAATGATCCTATACAAATTAAAACTGATCACTTTTAAAGGCCGTATAAAACTATTCATCAATCATTAGATTGCTTTGATGTATATATCATATATCTGTGTGTCTCTACCAGGATCCTAGCATGAACCTCTCCCTGAACAAACACTGAATAAATATTGCTATGATTTTGCTTATACTTTTGTCATTGACTTAGAGACAGTTTTGTTTCTTGTTTTTAACTCTGTGTTGAATATGAGTTCAGTTAGTTTTCTGTTTTTTATGTTTATGGAAGTACCTCAATTTTACTAATGGTGAGGCGGGGAATATAGGAAAGTATGAAAAACAACCACACATGCACAATTGCTTTGTAATTTCAAACTCTAATGGACACTCTCTGGAGGTGATTGCCATATCTCTCAGTAGGAACAGAATTTGAATCTGGGAGCAAGTAATCAGTCTGTAAATGTTTGTTATGATACTGGAATTGCCAAATATGCTGTATCTAATTGAATTTCATTACTGGGGCATGAAAGGCAGTTGGCTGAATGTTGTCACTGAAAAGAATATATTGTGGACAGCAGATTGTTGCCTATATAGTGCTTGTATAAAAACCCTATATCCAAATAAGGTCACATTCTGAGGTTCTGGGGCTTAGGATTTCAACATATAAATTTTGGAAGGACACAATTAAACCCATCACACCATCCATAGTTGAACCTCAACACAAATTAGCCTCAGAAATCAAGCTGTATTTATTTTGTGTTTTTTTAGCTATGCTTATTTTGGAATTGTATATAAACTGAACCTATTTCCATAAAGTAGTTGAATTTTATTCCTTTTTTCCAGACCCAATAGACCTCATGGTATTAGTTCTGCAGTCAACATTGTGCTTGCTCTCTCTCGCTCTCTGACTCTCTGACTCTATCTTGCTCTCTCTCTCTCTCTCATGTTTCATGAGTCATTAGGCCAAAAAGTATTAGGTAAATGAAAGCAAATATGACAGCAGCTCCTTGAACAAGGGGACCACTTCTTTCCCCCTCAAGTCCATGACCTGTAACATGTCTAACATTCCAGTTCTGAGGATTTTAAAAGTAGTTAGTTGATCTGTAGTGTGTTTTCACTTGACATCTTGCTTTAGTTACGCCATTCTTGCATATCCCTCATTTTCCACATTAGCCTCGTTTAGTTGTGCAGTTTTGACATTCACAGCTCTCCAGTGCTTTGGATTGAATGTTTATACCAAGAAATTGCAGCTGGCTTTTCTAGCAGGTCATTCTGATGTTGTCCAGGGATGCCATCAGAGGTGCAGGTTCTTGAAGCACCTTTTATACTATCTTCCTTTTCTACTCTGGGCCTTTCCCAGTTTCTGGGAGGTCAAGGCATCTGCCAAGCCTCTCTCTCTGCAGCCCACTGACATCAGGCATACTTGTATGCTCCATCTGTACTTTATTGCTTTTTGTTTGTCTGTTTGTTTGTTTGTTTGTTTGTTTTGAGACGGGGTCTCACTCTGTCACCCAGGCTGAAGTGCAATGGTGCAATCACAGCTCACTGCAGCCTCGACCTCCCAGACTCAAGTGATCCTCCAACCTCAGCCTCCTGAGTAGCTGGGACTACAGATGTGTGTCACCACACCCAGCTAATTTTTGTTTGTTTTAATAGAGATAAGGTCTCACTATGTTGCCTGGCTGGTCTTGAACTCCTGGGCTTAAGCGATCCTCCTGCCTCTGCCTCCAAAAGTGCTGGGATTACAGGTGTAAGCCATGGCGCCCAGCTCCACCTGTACTTCAAAACTCACCCTACTCCCTGTTCCCGAAGCATGTCACGTGCTAATGTGACTGGTATGTACCCTCTTAGCTTCTGGGCCCTGAAATACAACCCATATTTTGTTCCCCCTATCCTAAGAGATCAGGTGGAATGGAAGATTGTCTCCCTTTTTATTAAATGAGTCAAATTTTGTCTCTCCTCAAGTATATTCCAAAATATCAGTAACCTGTTAATAAAACGGCTTATCCCTTCAGAAAACAGAATTTAGGGTGGGTTAGATAATACACATAATCATCATCATCATCATCATCATCATCATCCATACCTCTCTAAGCCTGTAGCAGGGTGGAATAGCATGAGCTATTGATTGTATCTGAGCAGAGGAATGCTTGGTACCCCATATCTCTAGAAGAAATTAGGTGGCTTGAGAGGCTCTTTTAGGTCTGAATAATTTCAGTGCCAAAGACCAAAACCTCTTCATAAACTGCAGTTAGACTCTCCCTGATTGCCATGCCTGGCTTTCTGTTGGAGAAAATCCTAGAGGAAAACAGAAACTCCCAAGGAGCTGGGTAGCCAAGAGAGGAGCCCAGACCTTCCATCTTCCATCTGGTGACCTGATGGTTCTGGCATTTGACTTCTCTGAAGATAAGAAACCCTGGGTATTACACATAAATTCCAATATCTGAATTGACAAAAGTACTCTCTCCAGGGTAGATATGCTATCAGAGCTTAGATGTAAGGATGTTTTAAAAATTTCATTCACAGAGCTGAAGTGTCAGGCCCAGCAATATTTCTTTGGCCCTTGACGTCAGTCCTGTGAGCTAGCTCTCCAGCACTAGGGACTATTCTTGTGTTTAGTTTTACCTCCTCTTTCTTGGGGTAGATCACAATCAAATAGCTCCCAGTTCCTTCCTTTGGGAAGACAATGACCTTGCCTTCCCCACACACATCCATAAAGCACTACTCCTTGGACTCCACACCCCAGGTCCAGAATAGTCAGGGTGGCTACTCTAGGACTAATCTCTCTTCCTATCTCCTGGTAAAATGGTTTTAGTAGATATTTGTCCCTAGCAGCTGTTAGTTTCCCCTCTCATCACTATATTAAGACATCCTTGGCCATGCATGGTGGCTCATGCCTGTAATCGCAGCACTTTGGGAGGCTGAGATGGGAGGATCACTTGAGCCCACAAGTTCAAGAGCAGCCTGGGCAACATAGGGAGACCTTGTCTCTACCCAAAATAAAAATATTAGCCGAGTGTAGTGGTACATACCTGTGATTCCAGCTACTTGGGAAGCTGAGGCAGGAAGATCACTTAAGCCCGGGAGGTTGAGGCTACAGTGAGCCATGATTAGGCCACCGCACTCCATCCAGCCTGTGTGACAGAATGAGACTTTAAAAAGGAAAGAATAAAAAACCTTCTAGCCCAAGAATTCTTTAACTTTTTGCTTACACATTTGGGCCTTCCTTATTTTTCATAAGGAAAAATAAATTTTAATACTCTATTACTCTTTAATAGAGGGCAGGAATTGAAGCATCCTGAGATGAAGATAATTCAAAGACATCCAATACAGATGGCATAAATAGCAAAACTTTGAAAAGTATATTGTTCCCCAGCCTTGTTTTTAGGCTCAAATAAACACCCCATTAAGTAGAATGTATACCCTGATCACTTAGAATACTCAAGTTTCGAGGTGCCACTTAAAAATAAGGCAGATGCTGTACTTAGCTAGGGAAAAGGTATGTCTCTGGCAGGTGGGATCCCTTCACCAGGTCCATGAGATGGACTTAATTGGAAGCAAATACAGAATTGGAGATGGTCAATCAAACGGAAGCTCCTCAGTTCCTAGATCAGTTTCTGGTACATGGTAAGTGGGTAAATGGTAGGTAAATGAGATATACTCCTTGAGTAAAGTAGGTAGGTAGGTAGGTAAATGAGAAATACTCTTTGAATAAAGAGTAGGCAAATGAGAAATACTCTTTGGTAGGTAAATGAGAAATACTCTGTGAATAAAGTACAGTTGTCCCTTGGTATCCATGGAAGATTTTTTCTAGGCTCTCCTGAGGATCCCAAAATCAATAGAGGCTCAAGTTCCTTATATAAAATGATGTAGTATTGGCATATAACCTACATACATCCTACTATATACATTAAGTCATCTCTAGATTACTTAGAATACCTACCACAATGCACATGCTATGTAAATAGTTGCTATACTGTATTTTAAAATTTGTATTTGTTTTTCTTTGAATATTTTAAATTTGTGGTTGGTTAAATTCATGGATATGAAATCTGTGGATATGGAGGGCTGACTATACATATATATATATAATTATGTATATGAGTAAATGTATGAATTTATTCATGTCACTTTGGAGCACTAGTCATGAGACAGTAAAATGTGGAAAATCCTGACTATATTGGTCTTTTGGTAGCCCTGCCCATGTCACTCAACATGTAGCTGTGGTAAAAGCAAGTTTTCAAGTTCCTGTCAAGACAGTTCAACACATTTCCTCTCTTCTGCTTCTCTGCCTCCCTCATTCCCTCTCTTCTTAAAGTTATGGGTTGTCAGAACTTTTATTGAAATGAAAACAAAATCTAAGTTGATACTCTAAGACATGAAAGAGTCAGAGTCTAACAAGTCCATTAATATTCTATTCTTTCCTCTGCAGTACTGCAAAGCATGTTTGGTGGTGATAAAGGAATAGTTTTGTTTTGATGGATACAAATAGTTATTATTTATTTCATGATCACCATGGTAAGTGTAAACCAAAAATAAAATTCCAACCACCTGAATGGACCCCTCCTCTCGGCCAAGGGCATTCCAAAGTTAACCCGAAAAACTAGTTTAGGCCATGATGGGAAGGGGGAGCCCAACATTACTCATTATTCCCTCCTCCTTTTTGGAATTACTGATAGAATAATCTTTTAAAGTCTGATAAGAAACATTGACAGTCTATTCTCTGAAGCTTCCTACCTGGAGGCTTCATCTGCATGATAAAACCTTGGTCTCCACAACCTCTCATCTTAACCCAGACATTCCTTTTTATTGATTCTAAGTCTTTAGATAATAACAACTTTTTTAACCCATTACCAATCAGAAATTCACTGAATCTACCTATGATCTGGAACTAACCACCCTAGTTGTGCTCCCTTTCTGGACTGAACCAATGTAGATCTTATATGTATTGATTGATGCCTTATGTTTCCCTAAAATTTATAAAAGCAAGTTGTAGCCTGACCACCTTGGGCACATGTTCTCAGGATCTCCTGAGGGCTGTGTCATGGGCTATTTGTCACTCATATTTGGCTCAGAATAAATCTTTTCAAGATATTTTACTGAGTTTCACCCTTTTCATTGCCATAGATCTGGTATAGAAATTTTAAGAATGGGTCCTTAGTCCTTAAAAAGCTTGATTTAGTACAGGCAACACTCCAAGGACCTGGTTAGGCAAGACTGCTTGCCAGAGACATACTTTTTCCTTAGCCAAATATAACATCTATTAGAGATAACCCGTGGTTCCATATGGTACTTGGTAACAGAGGCTGAGAGAGAATGGGTGTGGGGAGAGACAACAAGTGCTATAGGAGTACTTGATGATGTGGTAATCTTCCTTGAGTATTCTGCCATGACATTCAGTTTTTATATATAAGATCCAGGCACAGTTGTCACTGGGTATTCATGGGGGGTTGGTTCCAGGACCTCCCACAGATACCAAAATCCAGAGATGCTCAATTCCCTGATATAAAATGGCATTGCATTTGCCTAAAACCTTGGAATCTCCTCCTGTATACTTTATATCCTCACTAGATTACTTATAACACCTAATACAATATAAATGCTATGTAAATCTTTGTCGTATTGTTTAGGGAATAATGACAAGAAAAAGTCTGTACCTGTTTAGTCACAGACGCAATTTTTTTTCAAATATTTTCTATTCATGGTTGTTTGAATCCACTGATGGGGCACCTATGGATATGGAGGGCTGGCTGTATTTCATCAAATTTCAGTGTAAAGGATGGCAGGGTAATGACTCACCTAGATGATACTTTTATAGTTCCTCCTGTTTCCTTCCTTTGGTGGATGAAGGAAATGCTGTCATACTCAGAAGTTGAGAGTGGGCAGTTACTTGCCTCAGTAAATGGCCACTCCATCCTCCTATGGCTTAGGCCATAGTCTTGAGTTCATCTTTTCTCCCAAATGCTCTATCAAGTTCTGTTAGCGTTTATAACAAAAATATACACAAGGCAATAGAAACGTTGCTATCTTGTTAGGGGTATGTTCATTTGTCAGAATGCATCAAACTGTGCAGCAAAGAGCTGTGCATTTTACTCTCTAAATTATAACTTAATTCATATGTGTAATGCATCCTAATATGTATGGTAATATACATTTTATATTCAGAATATATATATAGCAATATGCATTTTATGTATGTATATATACATATTTACTATATGTGTATTCACACATACGTACATAGCTAGTGTCCAATCACCATCTCTACTGCTCACACCCTGACCCGAGCCACCAACAGAACCTCTCATCTGAATTGTTGTAGTCATTTTTTGACTGTTCTTGTTTTTATCTTTGCCACACCTGCAGTGTGTTCTTAGAAATGATTCTTCTTCTTTTTTTTTTTTCTTTTTTTTGAGATGGAGTCTCGCTCTGTCGCCCAGGCTGGAGTGCAGTGGCGCGATCTCGGCCCACTGCAAGCTCTGCCTCCCGGGTTCACACCATTCTCCTGCCTCAGCCTCCCGAGTAGCTGGGACTACAGGCGCCTGCCACCACGCCGGCTAATTTTTTTTGTATTTTTAGTAGAGATGGGATTTCACTGTGTTAGCCAGGATGGTTTCCATCTCCCGACCTCGTGATCCGCTTGCCTCGGCCTCCCAAAGTGCTGGGATTACAGGCGTGAGCCACTGCACCCGGCCAGGAATGATTCTTCATAAAACAGAAATCAGATCATGTCATTCCTTGGCTCAGAACCCTCCAGTGGCCTTCCATCTCCATGCTCAATTGAAGTCAAAGCCTGGCTGCCATGGCTTGTGAGGCCCCAGATCCCACTACCGCACCACTCCCACCACACCTTCTGTGCCTCTGGGACCACATTCCCTACTAACCCCCCGGCTCACCACCTTCCAGCCCACTGACCTCAAACATCAACTACATGAAGCTCCCCCTCCTCGGGGCCTTTGCACTTACTGTTGTTTCTCCCTGGAATCTCTTCCCAGATATTCCTGTGACTTTCTCCCCTCACCTTCTTCAAGGTTTTAATCAATGTCACTTTACCAATGGGGCCCTCCCTGATTATCAGATCAAAACTTCTAAGTCCCTGCCATTCCCTTTCTGCACGAAGAGCTGGCACAGTATATAATTAAGCGGACATGCTCTGCTGCCAGACTGTCTGACTTCACATCATTTTTCTAGCTGTGTGACTTGGTGCCTCAGTTTGATCACTAATAAAGTGGGGATAAGTATCGTGTCATTAGGGTTATTGTAAAGATTAATTGAATTGATATATGAAAAGCACTAAAAAACAGTGCCCGGTACATAGTAAGCTAATGTTAATGTTATTCCTCTTGCTTGCTTCATTATTTTTCCCATAGCACTTATCAATCACCCTCTCATCTGCTATGTATTTAAACTATTTTTTGTGGTTTCTTGCCATTAGAATGTATGTGCCATCAGAGCAACAACTTTTTACTTTTTTTCCTTTTCTATTTTCTTTCTTTGCTTTTTCTTCATTACTTTTTAAATTCAATTTAAAAAGAAAATTGAGTTGCCAGCTTCACCACTTAGAATAGTGCCTGATATACAATAGGTACTCAATAAATATTGTGTAATCAGTGGGTGAATGAGAGAAGAGTCTGTGCACTTTCAGGAGGCTGTAGGATAAGGTAGGTTAGGGAAGGGGCTGGAAACATTTTCTGCAAAGAGCCAGATAGTAAATATTTTAGGCTTCGTGAGTTACAACTACTCAACTTTGCTGTTGTGGCATGAAAGCCACCATAGATGATATGTAAACGAATGAATGTGACTGTGTTCCAAAGAAACTTTATAAAAACAGGCAGTGGGCTAGATTTGACCATAGGTCATAGTTTGCCAACTCCTGGGTTGGGGAATAATTTTTGGCCTTACTTTCCCCCTCATTACTCCTCCCTTCAGCCAGCAATTAGTGCTATTCACTCAGAACTGAAATATGAATAATTTGAAAAGCATTACATTACCCCTTAGTATTTGGCTCAGTATACAAATTTTCCATATGTCTCTTAATATTTTATTAGGAAATAACAATGTTAAGAATATATTTTGAACTTTCCAGCTGTACAGTTTCAGGGCTCTGGTTTTCATTTCTCTTCTCCAACAGCCGAAAACTGGTGATTCTGGCCAGGAGCACGTGTGCTATAAAGGAACAAGCAGTGTTGGCATTCCTCTTACTGTATGGCCAAGAGTGTAACTGACACCCAGTTGGAATAGAAACCAACAGAAATTACCTACAAGACAAACTGTTGAGTTTATAAGATTATTTATGAAAACTTATTCCTCCACAAAACTGTTTCCTAGCCCACAGTTTTTACCAGTCTTCCCAATCAATTTTATATGCTAGCAAGTTTCTTCCAGCTTTTTAATACAGTGAGTTTTGACCATGTGACAAACTGAAACTTTAACACAAATTATATAGCTTTTATTGGTGTAATTAAAGCAGGTCAGATGATGCATCATAATTAGGCAAATAAGCAGTCCAACTATGTGACTGCAACTGATGTAAATTTTATGCAACCAGAAATGGTTTTTGTGTCACCTCTTCTGAACTTAGCAGCCCATCCTTATTGTCGGTGCTAACAGTTTTCCACTTGCCGTTTAATTGTCTTCATCATTTTATATGTGTGGAAAGAACAAACCTGGACCATACTCCCCATTTGTTGGGGTTTTCTTGCTCCCTGTGTTGCACCTTTTTACAGCTGTGGTCCATGGCTGCGGTTTCCAATCAGAGTGTGATGTAACCTACTCCCAAGACACCTGGCCAATGTGCCTCATTTTGTTTTCCATCATGAATTAATCTGTTTTCTAAAATTCAATTTAAAAAGAAAATTGAGTTGCCAGCAGAACTATCACATAATTGGATATCACAGCAAGGTCAAGTTGCTATGCAGTTGTTAAAGTGGTTATTCTCAATTTCTGTACTTATAGTAGACCAGCAACAGTTCGTGCACCAGCTCCAGTCCACAGACCACATTCTAAGCAACACCACTTCAGAGCAGTGGTTTTCAAACGTTTTTATCCCAGTATAAAGTATGCATTCTTAGGTTGTAAAACACATGAGTGTGTACATGCCTGTGCAGACACACACACACACATACTCTGAAACCACTGGAATGTCAGCCACCTAAAGGCAGAGCTTCGCTTTTCTTGGTCTTTTTCACTGTTCTGCCTCTAATACCTGGCACATAGGAGGCCCTCAATCAATATTTGTTGCAGGTACGTGTGTGTGTATGTGTGTGTCTGAATAATCAAATCAGAATTTTCACACGATAATGCTTAACCTTTACTTCTGATGAACTACTCTTTTGTTGTCTATTTAATACAAAGAAATGCTGATTTCAATCTATTAATTCTATTTCAGTATGTTCCAATTTTAGCAGTTGTGACCCACGATTTATAAAACATTCCTTTAGAAGGTGCTTGTGTATAGGAATTTGTTATTCTTTTCTTCTTCAGAACTATGAGTAGCTGTTGCTCACTCCTGTCTTCCTATAGGTATACATATCCCAGAACTGTTTACATCTAGGAAGCAGTCCATGTAGCCTGCATACATTAGGTTGGTAGGCCTGTGAAGGAAAATAGAGATAGATGAGTCTCCAGGTTTTTAAGAGCTAAA
The DNA here is from genome assembly GCF_000001405.40 of Homo sapiens. Taxonomy (NCBI): domain Eukaryota; kingdom Metazoa; phylum Chordata; class Mammalia; order Primates; family Hominidae; genus Homo; species Homo sapiens. The sequence continues at coordinate 27,105,309 of NC_000012.12, forward strand.
AAGAAGGGAAGAATGAGGTTAGAGTTCGAGTGGTTAGAGCAATAACAAGTTGAAACAGACCCACCGATACTCCTCCATAATACTGGGGACTAAGTTTGCAAACTCTTAGGAATAATGTCATTCTAAAATAGTACAATGAATTTGATTCACCTACATCTCGAAGAGCATGAAATTTCACTTTTTAAGATTGTGCATAGCAAGGCTGATAGCAATAATCACGTTTATCTAAATGTATCTTAAAAGTTAAGGTCATGGCTGGGTGCAGTGTCTCCCACCTGTAACCCCAGCACTTTGGGAAGCCAAGGCGGAAGGATTGCTTCAGCTCAGAGTTTTAGACCAGCCTGGGCTACGTAGTGAGACCTGCCCTCTACTAAAAATAAAAAATCAGCTGAGCATGGTGGTGCCCACCTTGTAGTCCTAGCTACTGGGGAGGCTGAGGTGGGAGGATCACTTGAGCCCAGGAGGTCAAGGCTGCAGTGAGCCGCGATCATGCCACTGCACTCCATCCTGTGTGACAGAGCCAAGACCCTGTCTCAAAAAAAAAAAAAAATCAAACAAAAACAAGTAAAGGTCAGGATGTAGTTTTCTGAATTACGCATATAGGATCTGGAGTACTTAAGACATCAGAGCGTGTATGTGTTTGCAGGGCCACTGAGTCATAGCTGCACACAGCAAGCATTTGGTGTCTACCACACTAGATTATGGGGAACAGATAGCAGAAACACAGTCTGTTTTCAAGGAGTGCACAGCTTTGTCCAGGAGACAATCACTGTAAAATCAGGGCTGTCATGGTGGTGGCAGTCGGGCTGGCCTTGGAGGAAAGAATGCCTGACCCACCTTGAAAACATGTGTCCCAGGACATAGAAGAGGGCCCAAGAAGTAGGGGGATCAGTGCGTGTCATGGCACAGAGGTGAGAGGTTAGAAATGTCTTCCAAGCAGGGCATGTCTTTGCAGTATGGTGGGAGGCTGGCAGTCCTGTACATAGTTTATAGTTTGGATTAGAAACATGTGAGGGAGGTCAAGGTTGGTGATCCCAGTCAAGGCCTAATAGTTGTTTGTTAAATACCTACTGAATGAGTGAGAGGAATACATGGGAACAACATGGGTTTTGGACTCAAATCTCACTTCTTCAGTGACCTTGAACAAATTCCTAACTTCTCCATGTAGTCATAACAATAGCTAGTAAGAGTAGATATCGAGAAATGGGGCTTTCTTTCAACTTATCACAAGATCTTCAAATCTACTGACATTTAATACACATCAGTTTTTCAATAGCAGCAGCATCCTTTATTTGAGAAGTAAAAGATCTTGGCTTATTGTATAAACCTTTTCATCAACTCTCTTCTGGTTATTCCTAAGCATTAATAGCAGAGAGCCAGAGGGCTCATTTCCTTTTACCTCATCCTATTTTCCCTTGCTGCTTCATTTATTTGATTACTTACTAGCTTTGCTTTTTTGTATTTTGTGGCATTTCATTGTAGTGAACAAGAGAAGTAACTTTTACTAATGTATTGTCATTAATACGCCCTCTTTTGTACTCTGCCTTATAATCCTCTGTGAGCAGGTGTTTCATTTTCTGAATGTGCGTGTGCATGTGTGTGTTTGTGTTTGTGAGGGTGGTTAAAATAACAAGTATTGTGTTATTTGGTTTATAAATATTTGGTGAGCCCTTAGTATGCTTGAGGTTATGGTAGAGAAATAAAATATCTAAGACAATATATCATGGTTGAAGGTGTTTGAAAATTTTATGGTTTAAATATATGGATAAAAATGGAAATGTTTTATTATGGAAAGCTTCAAATATATAAAAACATAGATAGAATACCCAGCTGGGTGCAGTGGCTCACACTTGTATTCCCAGTACTTGGGAGGCTGAGGTGAGCGTATCGCTTGAACCCAAGAGTTCAAGACCAGCCTGGGCAACATGGCGAAACCCTGTCTCTACAAAAAATACAAAAATTAGCCAGGTGTGGTAGCCCCAGCTACTTGGGAGGCTGAGATGGGGGTATTGCTTGAGCCTGGAGAAGTTAAGGCTGCAGTGAGCCATGTTTGCACCACTGCACTACAGCCTGGGCGATAGAATGAGACTCTGTTTCAAAAAATATATGTATAGATAGATAGTATAGTGTACCCTCAAATACCATCACCCATTTTCAACAATTATCAACTTATGGCTAATCTTGTTTTATCAATATCTTTACCCTATTTTCTTCTATTTTATTTTAAAACAAATTCGAAATATATTATTTCATCTATGAGTATTTTGCTACTTGGCTCTAAAAAATAAGGACTCAACAAAGATAAGTTATAATAGCATTATTAATAACCTTAGAATGACAGTAATTCCTTAATATCAAATACATGCTGTTCAAGTTTCCAGTTATACCATCCACTCTAAACTTATTTTATAGTTTTTTTTTTTTTTCTTGCTGTGTTACCCAGGCTGGAGTGCAGTGGCACTATCTCGGCTCACTGCAATCTCTGCCTTCCAGGTTCAAGTGATTCTTCTGCTTCAGCGTCCTAAGTAGCTAAGACTACAGGTGCACGCCACCACGCCTGGCTAATTTTTGTGTTTTTTGTAGAGATGGGGTTTCACTATGTTAACCAGGCTGATCTCGGACTCCTGACCTCAAATGATCTGCCCGCATCGGCCTCCCAAAGTGCTGGGATTACAGGGGTAAGCCACTGTGCCTGGCCTTATTTTACAGTTTGAAGCCTCCTGAGGAGGCTGAGTTGGGAGGATCACTTGAGCCCAGGAGTTTAAGGCTAGCCTGGGTAATACAGCCAAACCCCATTAAAAAAAATGTGTGTTGTAACATTAGGTATCGCCCCTGCTGCCAACACTCCTGACCTTTTCCGGTTTCATCACTTCCCCTGCCCTCGTTTTGCCCTTTCCAAGTGATTCTGAATTAATTTTCTAGGGATGTTGGAGCAGATTGGTGGTGAGAAGGGTTTGGGCTAATAGAGTGGGGAGGAAAAAAGTATGTGATGACAGATACATAGCAGAGAACCAGAAAACAAGGAGGGTTGTATTTAAGAATCTCTAAAATGTTGCAGACATATGAACCTATAGTGGTTGAGGTTTAAAGGGAGAGATTTTTTGAATTAAAACCTGAATGGCTTCTTCAGAGCTGTTATTTTGGGATCAAAAGTAAGAAACTGAGGTGTGGGGAGAGGAATTCTACCCTTATTTTTTACTTTGGTAGCCAATTTCCACCTCATCTGGGCAGGGCTTTTTGTCCCAAGGAGGAAAGGCCTCAGTGTGTGTGAGTCTAGTGATTGAGTGCGCCTCAGAGCCAGTGGGAGGGCTCGGAAAAACACAGATTGCTGGGCCTGCCCCTGAAGTTTCTGATTCAGCAGACCTAGGGTGGGGTCCAGGGATTTGCATTTCTTTCTTTTTTTTTCTTTTTCTTTTTCTTTTTTTTTTTTTTTGAGACGGAGTCTCGCTCTGTCACTCAGGCTGGAGTGCGGTGGTGAGAGGTGTGATCTCGGCTCACTGCAACCTCCACCTCCTGGGTTCAAGCAATTCTCCTGCCTCAACCTCCCAAGTAGCTGGGACTACAGGTGTGCATCACCACACCTGGCTAATTTTTGTATTTTTAGTAGAGACAGGATTTGGCCTTGTTGGCCAGGATTGTGTCAAACTCCTGACCTCAAGTGATCCACCCATCTTGGCCTCCCAAAGTACTGGGCTGACAGGCATGAGCCACCATTTGCATTTCTTACTAGCTCACAGGTGATGCTGTTTTTCCAAAACACAGACCTATTAGTGCCTGCTTCTCCCTTTTGATCTGTTTTGTTTTTTATTTTAAATTAATTTTTATGAGTACATAGTAGGTGTGAGTCTTTATGGGGTACATGAGATATTTTGATACAGGCATACATCACGTAATAATCACATCAGGGTAAATGGGGTGTCTGTCACCTCAAGCATCTATCATTTCTTTGTGTTATGGACATTCCAATTATATTCTTTTAGTTATTTATAAATGTACAGTAAGTTATTGTTGACAGTTTTCACCCTGTTGTGCTACCAAATATGATCTGATTTTTAGATAGTTTATCTTTGCTAAGATTGTATTGCTGCACACATTGGCAATCATTGTGTAATTGATTAACCTTCTGAAGCAGCTTCTTGCTGGAAAAAAAATTAAAAACTAAACTGTTGAGAAATGTATGAGTAATTTGTGTGAAAAGATACTCTATTTTCATAATGACCACAGAATACTGTGGCGTTCTACCAGCCTAGTCGAATGTATGTGAACATTCTCCCTTCTTCTGAAGATTTCTTCTAAGTGTCTTAGTCTCAGTGAATTGTATCTATCTTGGGTAAGAAGTTCAGGGTTCTCTTTCAAACCCAAGCATTTTACCTAAAGAAAGCTGAGAAAGCTAGGACAGATGTAATTCTCACAAAAGTTCGAAAGAAACTTGCTGATTTTCTTATGGCCTTTCTTTTCTTCACAGAAATTCTGGGTAGCGAGCCTGACCTAAGACATCAGTTAGTCAGCAACCCTGCAAAAAATTACAGTGTCCTGCCAATGCTTTAGCCACCACACCCATCACACCCATGCCTGGAACTTTCCTTGATATTTCACCCCATTCAAATCTGCTCTAAATAGTTCCTGACCAAACCTGAAATATACCCTAAACATACTTCTGTTGGGTCTTTTTTTTTTTTTTTTGGTCTCTTACTATAATATTTGAATCTTACCTCCAATAACTTGCTTATCTAAAACTTTACTAAATTTATTTTTATTAAGCCATTGGAATAAGAAACCACTAGCCTGAGAACTCCTGCAAACAGAGCTCATTTCTCTGTTTACATCACCCAACAAATAAGAGGCTTCTCCAGTTCGAACTATGACTTTGAACCCCAGCTTCACTCCTTTGTTGTGGTAGTGATTAATGTATTTCCTGGTACCTTTTTCTTTAGCAAGTCATTCAAAGAAGCACTTAGCCACTTAGAATCCACTTAGCACTTAGCCACTTAGCACTTAGCCACTTAGCCACTTAGAATCCAGAAATAAATTTAGTACTTTGTGAGAATTACTGGATGGTGAAATTTTTTGTTCTTTGGAATTTTTTTTTCTTTTTATTGAGACAGGGTCTTTATCACCCAGGCTGGAGTGCAGTGGCACAATCACAGCTCACTGCAGCCTTGGGCTCCTGGGCTCAAGTGATCCACCCACTTCAGCCTCCTGAGCAGCTGGGACTACAGGCACATGCCACCACACCCAGCTTATTTTGTATTATTTTTTGTAGAGACAGGGTCTCACTATGTGGCCCAGGCTGGTCTCAAACTCCTGGGCTCTAGCGACCCTCCTGCCTTGGCCTCCCACAGTAGCAGGATTATAGGTGTGAGCCACTTTGCCTGGCTTGGATGGCAAAGTTGTAATTTTCTAAGTGGTTTGTCCACCCAAAGGACTCAGTTATAACTAGCAGGTTTCTGGGTAAGCAAATAATGGGAAGAAATGGAGCTGGATATTCTGAGCCTTTTATTTTGGACCATAGGTTCATATAATTGGATTATTCATGATCCTTGATTCGTGACATATTGTCATTATAGTCTAAGGTGCAGAGGTCCATGCATGTCCGACCTCATTTATTATTTATTTAGTTCATTTTTAAATGGGATTTATATTTCTAATTTCTAACCATCAACTTCTCTTTCCTAATTTTTCAAATACAAAAGTTTTATTTGGAAAGTAATCCTAGGAAAGACTTAGAGAAATAAAGAAGATAACTCATAAGTGATGCATTATCAAACAGGTTACCACTCTGAGTAGATCTTAATTGTCTAGATAATTCTGGGAACCAATGTAGATTACATGAATCAGAATTAGCTCTTTCTAGGGGGAAAGTGTGCTGGAATATTTAAAGCTGATAACTTTAAATATTAAAGGGACATTAATTCTCTGGCATTTTCAGATCACCACATGCAATGGCAGAGGGCTCCCTGAAATCTTGGACAGTTAAAAGTTGGGCTGGCATGCATGGAATTACAGAGGGCACCAATTACATCTGCCTCAGTTAGAAGCTAAACAGTATTATTAATTCATCTGTTTCAAAGGCATTCCCAATTAATTTAGTTCTAAATGAATTTTATGCTTTCAATATTTAGCCAACAATGAATGGTTCCTTCCTAGTTAAAATAAAGAACTTAAATGGGATTGACATTGGGATTCTTAATGCCTGACAAGCTTTAAAGACCATTGCATAGTTTGATGAGCAATTGCCAAAGTTTATACATTGGCAAATGTATAAACTTGTGTAACTTATATCTCAATCAAGATATTAACCAGAAATTCCACTGGTGTCTCCTTTCAGTCACTCACCATTTTCTGTAAGTAATTATTGCTCTACCTTCTATCATAGGTTGCCTGTTCTTGAATTTCATATAAAAGTATCATACAGTACATGGTCCTTTCTGTCTGGCTTCTTTTGCTCAACATAATGTTGCATGTATTATTTGTTCCATCTCTCTACTGTAGAATAATATTCCATCGTATTAGAATGATATTTCATTGTGTTAATTATGTGAGGAAGCCCAGGGAATCTTCCTCTCAGAAATATTTATGAAGAGTTAAGAAAGTCTTTTTAGAGACCAGGGGATTTTCTAAAGCTTTTTTATTTAGCCTTTTCATTTTTAAAAATACGTTGACCTAGCCCTGAAAATTAACATAGCTTTATCAACACAGATGCCTAATAAATTAGGCTGCCTCTAAAATAGCTCAAACCACGGGCAAGGCAGAATTTTAATAAATATGGACGGTCTGTTCTTAGTACTTCACCACATCAGGTTGTGTGTTTCTTATTCTTCTGTGTAGTTCTTTAAAACCCATTTGAAATTTATCGAAACTGATTCTGTGGCCTTGCGTATATGCCTTATCCTGGTGAATATAATGTGTAGACTTGAATGTATATTCTGCCTTTGGGTGTTCTGTTCTATAAATTGAATTAGGTCAAGATGGTTGATAATATTTTCAAATCTTGTGTGTTACTGAGTTTTTTTTCCTACCATATCTGTCAATTCAAAAGAAGGTTGAAAAAGAACAAGTGATAGATGGGACAAACAGAAAAGAAATAGCAGGGCAATAGACTTAAATCCAACCTTATCAGTAGATTTAAATCCAACCAGGTCAATCATATTTATATTATGTTAAATATAAGTGGATTAAATTTGTCTAATTCTCCCTTAACACTATCAGTTTTTGCTTCATGTATTTGGAGGTTCTATTACTAGTTGCAAAAACATTTGTGCTTGTTATGACTTCCTGATGAATTAACACTTATCATTGTAAAATATCTTTCTTTCTAGTCATACTTCCTGATTTGTAGTTTCGTAATATACCCACTCCTGCTTTCCTGTGCTTACATATGTATGTTATCTCATTTTTCATCCTTTTACTATTATATTTCTTTATATTTAAAGTCTCTATTAACAGCACGTAATTAGGACTTAAAAAACTAATCTGATGATCTCTGGCTCTTATCAGTGTTTATTGCATTTTTACTTAATGTAATTTTTAAAAGTTATTTAAAAAATTGTTTTATTTTAGTAGCTTTAGGGGTACAAGTGGCTTTGGTTACATGGATGAATTGTATAGTGGAAGTCTGAGATTTTAGGGCTCCTGTCACCTGAATAGTGAACATTGTACCTAATAGGTAGTTTTTCATCCTTACCTCCCTCTCACTCTCCCTGCTTCTGAGTCTCCACTGTCCATTATACCACTCTGTATGCCTTTGCATACCCATGGCTTAGCTCCAACTTATGCAATACTTAATCCGATTATTTATATGCTTCAGTTTAAGTCTACCACCTTGGCTATTGATTTTTCTTTCTCCTGTGTGTCTATTGTTCCTTCATTACTGCCTTTGGATTTAGTAAAATTGAGCTGATTTTATCAGGCTGATAAAATCAGCCTGATAAAATCCAGGCTGAGGCTGGAGGGTTGTATGAGCCCAGGTATTCAAGACCAGCCAACTGGCAACATAGTGAGACCTTGTCTCAAAAAATAAACAAAAAGTAAAGATTCCGTGAATTCGTATTCTCTACAACACTTGGCTATGTCAATTTTTTTCACTAATTGGGTATAAAACATTATCACATTCCTTTAGATTCCTCATTTATTAATGATATTAAGCACCTCTTCATATTTTTATTGGTTGAAAACATTTCTTCTGCCAAATGATTGTTCATATCCTCATGCCTCCCATTTTTTCCTTGATTTCTAGGAATTCTACACTTGGAATACCACTGAACTGGACCACTTATATTTGACTACTTTTGACTTATTAGAGAAATCTTTGGCCTTTGATTCTATCACCAGTACCTGGCTACCTGTTTAATTTGGAAAGCCTTCCAAATTGGGCCCCCTTATCCTACTCCATTTTTTCCTCTTAGCACCTACCACCTTCGCCATGTTACATACGTGTTTATTACTTGTATGTACTGTCTTTCCCTTACTGGTGCATGTAGGTTGCTACATGATAAATATAGAGATTAAGAGTTAGCATTTTGAACTTTCAAAGCAATTTAAACATTGTCATAATATTTTTATTAAATGATGGGATTGGTCTCCAATGAACTGGAAATTTTTTTAAGAACTAGTTCTTCACTACTTTGAAAAGCATGGTGTAGATTGTCTCATACCTTCATGTAATAGCATTTGAAAGGCTCATTGAACAGAACAGAGAAGAACTCGATAACTATTATACCTATCAGACTTGAAAAAGTGTTCATGCTCTACACAAAATATAGTTGCTAACAAAGATGAATTTTTTTTCTAATTTAGTGAGATGATATGTATTTCTAATATGGGCATTACTTTGTGTTATTGGTATTCCCATGTTTATAGTTGAGCCTGGTATGTGTCCCTTTGTTTTATGTATACACATACATAAATGTATCTATACAAAATACTTTTTTAAAATTATACTTTAAGTTCTAGGGTACATGTGCACAACATGCAGGTTTGTTACATAGGTATACATGTGCCATGTTGGTTTGCTGCACCCATCAACTCGTCATTTACATGAGGTATTTGTCCTAATGCTCTCCCTCCCCCAGGCCCCCACCCCCGACAGGCCCCAGTGTGTGATGTTCCCCGCCCTATGTCCAAGTGTTCTCATTGTTCAGTTCCCACCTATGAGTGAGAACATGCAGTGTTTGGTTTTCTGTCCTAGTGATAGTTTGCTGAGAACGATGGTTTCCAGCTTCATCCATGTCCCTGCAAAGGACATGAACTCATCCTTTTTTATGGCTGCATAGTATTCCATGGTGTATATGTGCCACATTTGCTTAATCCAGTCTATCATTGATGGACATTTGGGTTCGTTCCAAGTCTTTGCTATTGTGAATAGTGCTGCATTAAACATACGTGTGCATGTGTCTTTATAGTAGCATGATTTATAATCCTTTGGGTATATACCCAGTAATGGGATCACTGGGTCAAATAGTATTTCTGGTTCTAGATCCCTGAGGAATCGCCACACTGTCTTCCACAATGGTTGAACTAATTTACACTCCCACCAATAGTGTAAAAGCATTCCTATTTCTCCACATCCTCTCCATTGTCTGTTGTTTCCTGACTTTTTAGTGATCACCATTCTAACTGGTGTGAGATGGTATCTCATTGTGGTTTTGATTTGCATTTCTCTGATCAGTAATGATGAGCGTTTTTTCATGTGTCTGTTGGCTGCATAAATGTCTTCTTTTGAGAAGTGTCTGTTCATATCCTTTGCTCACTTTTTGATTGGGTTTTTTTTTTCTTGTAAATTTGTTTAAGTTCTTTGTAGAGTCGGGATATTAGCCCTTTGTCAGATGGGTAGATTGCAAAAATTTTCTCCCTTTTGTAGGTTGCCTGTTCAGTCTGATGGCAGTTTCTTTTGCTGTGCAGCAGCTCTTTAGTTTAATTAGATCCCATTTGCCTATTTTGGCTTTTGTTGCCATTGCTTTTGGTGTTTTAGTCATGAAGTCCTTACCCATGCCTATGTCCTGAATAGTATTGCCTAGGTTTTCTTCTAGGGTTTTTATGGTTTTAGGTCTAACATTTAAGTCTTTAATCCATCTTGAATTAATTTTTGTATAAGGTGTAAGGAAGGGATCCAGTTTCAGCTTCCTACATATGGCTAGCCAGTTTTCCCAGCACCATTTATTAAATAGGGAATCCTTTCCCCATTTCTTGTTTTTGTCAGGTTTGCCAAAGATCAGATGGTTGTATGTGTGTGGTGTTATTTCTGAGGCCTCTGTTCTGTTCCATTGGTCTATATCTCTGTTTTGGTACCAGTACCATGCTGTTTTGGTTACTGTAGCCTTGTAGTATAGTTTGAAGTCGGGTAGAGTGATGTCTCCAGCTTTGTTCTTTTTGCTTAGGATTGTCTTGGCAATGCGGGCTCTTTTTTTGGTTCCATATGAACTTTAAAGTAGTTTTTTTCCAATTCTGTGAAGAAAGTCATTGGTAGCTTGATGGGGATGGCATTGAATCTATAAATTACCTTGGACAGTATGTCCATTTTCATGATATTGATTCTTCCTATCCATGAGCATGGAATGTTCTTCCATTTGTTTGTGTCTTCTTTTATTTCATTGAGCAGTGGTTTGTAGTTCTTCTTGAAGAGGTCCTTCACATCCCTTGTAAGTTGAATTCCTAGGTATTTTATTCTCTTTTTAGCAATTGTAAATGCTGAGTCCACTCATGATTTGGCTCTCTGTCTGTTATTAGTGTATAGGAATGCTTGTGATTTTTGCACATTGATTTTGTATCCTGAGACTTTGCTGAAATTGTTTATCAGCTTAAGGAGATTTTGGGCTGAGACGATGGGGTTTTCTAAATATACAATCATGTCATCTGCAAACATGGACAATTTGACTTCCTCTTTTCCTAATTGAATACCCTTTATTTCTTTCTCTTGCCTGATTGCTCTGGCCAGAACTTCCAACACTATGTTGAGTAAGAGTGGTGAGAGAGGGCGTCCTTGTCTTCTGCCGGTTTTCAAAGGAAATGCTTCCAGTTTTTGCCCATTCAGTATGATATTGGCTGTGTGTTTGTCATTAATAGCTCTTATTATTTTGAGATATGTTCCATCAATATCTAGTTTATTGAGACTTTTAGCATGAAGCGTTGTTGAATTTTATCGAAGGCCTTTTCTGCATCTGTTGAGATAATCATGTGGTTTTTGTTGTTGATTCTGTTTTTGTTATGGATTACATTTATTGATTTGCATATGTTGAACCAGCCTTGCATCCCTGGGATGATGCCAACTTGATAGTGGTAGATAAGCTTTTTGATGCACTGCTGGATTCGGTTTGCCAGTATTTTATTGAGGATTTTTGCATCAATGTTCATCAGGGATATTGGTCTAAAATTCTCTTTTTTTGTTGTGTTTCTGCCAGGCTTTGGTATCAGGATGGTGCTGGCCTCATAAAATGAGTTAGGGAGGACTCTCTCTTTTTCTATTGATTGAAATAATTTCAGAAGGAATGGTACCAGCTCTTCTGTGTACCTCTGGTAGAATTCGGCTGTGAATCCATCTGGTCCTGGACTTTTTTTGGTTGATAAGCTATTAATTATTGCCTCAATTTCAGAGCCTGTTATTGGCCTATTCAGAGATTCAACTTCTTCCTGGTTTAGTCTTGGGAGGGTGTATGTGTTGAGGAATTTATCCATTTCTTCTAGATTTTCTAGTTTATTTGCATAGAGATGTTTATAGCATGCTCTGATGGTAGTTTGTATTTCTGTGGGATCGGTGGTGATATCCCCTTTATCATTTTTTATTGCGTCTATTTGATTATTCTCTCTTTTCTTCTTTATTAGTCTTGCTAGTGGTCAGTGGTCTATCAATTTTGTTGATCTTTTCAAAAAACCAGCTCCTGGATTCATTGATTTTTGATGGGTTTTTTATGTCTTTATCTCCTTTGGTTCTTCTCTGCTCTTAGTTATTTCTTGCCTTCTGCTAGCTTTTGAATTTGTTTTCTCTTGCTTCTCTAGTTCTTTTAATTGTGATGTTAGAGTGTCAATTTTAGATCTTTCTTGCTTTCTCTTCTGGGCATTTAGTGCTGTAAATTTCCCTCTACACACTGCTTTAAATGTGTCCCAGAGATTCTGGTACATTGTGTCTTTGTTCTCATTGGTTTCAAAGAACATCTTCATTTCTGCCTTCATTTCGTTATTTACCCAGTAGTCATTCAGGAGCCAGTTGTTCAGCTTCCTTGTAGTTGTGCAGTTTTGAGTGAGTTTCTTAATCCTGAGTTCTAGTTTGATTGCACTGTGGTCTGAGAGACAGTTTGTTGTGATTTCTGTTCTTTTACATTTGCTGAGGAGTGCTTTACTTCCAATTATGTGATTAATTTTAGAATATGGGCAATGTGGTGCTGAGAAGAATGTATATTCTGTTGATTTGTGGTGGAGAGTTCTGTAGATGTCTGTTAGGTCTTCTTGGTGCAGAGCTGAAGTCCTGGATATCCTTTTTAACTTTCTGTCTCCTTGATCTGTCTAATGTTGACAGTGGGGTGTTAAAGTCTCCCACTATTATTGTGTGGGAGTCCAAGTCTCTTTATAAGTCTCTAAGAACTTGCTTTATGAATCTGGGTGCTCCTGTGTTGGGTGCATATATATTTAGGATAGTTAGCTCTTCTTGTTGAGTTGATCCGTTTACCATTATGTAATGGCCTACTTTGTCTCTTTTGATCTTTGTAGGTTTAAAGTCTGTTTTATCAGAGACTAGGATTGCAACCCCTGCTTTTTTTTTTGCTTTCCATTTGCTTGGTAGATCTTCCTCCATCCCTTTATTTTGAGCCTATGTGTGTCTTGGCACATGAGATGGGTCTCCTGAATACAGCACACTGATGGGTCTTGACTCTTTATCCAGTTTGCCAGTCTGTGTCTTCTAATTGGGGCATTTAGCCAATTTACATTTAAGGTTAATATTGTTATGTGGGAATTTGATCCTGTCATTATGATGTTCCCTGGTTGTTTTGCCCGTTAATTGATGCAGTTTCTTCCTAGCATTGATGGTCTTTATAATTTGGCATGCTTTTGCAGTGGCTGGTACTGGTTGTTCCTTTCCATGTTTAGTGCTTCCTTCAGGAGCTCTTGTAAGGCATGCCTGGTGGTGACAAAATCTCTCAGCATTTGCTTGTCTGTAAAGGATTTTATTTTTCCTTCACTTATGAAGCTTAGTTTGGCTGGTATGAAATTCTGGCTTGAAAATTCTTTTCTTTAAGAATGTTGAATATTGGCCCACACCCTCTTCTGGCTTGTAGGGTTTCTGCCGAGAGATCAGCTGTTAGTCTGATGGGCTTCCCTTTGTGGGTAACCCGACCTTTCTCTCTGGCTGCCCTTAACATATTTTCCTTCATTTCAACTTTGGTGAATCTGACAATTATGTGTCTTGGAGTTGCTCTTCTCGAGGAGTATTTTTGTGGTGTTCTCTGTATTTCCTGAATTTGAATGTTGGCCTGCCTTGCTAGGTTGGGGAAATTCTTCTGGATAGTATCCTGCAGAGTGTTTTCCAACTTGGCTCCATTCTCCCCATCACTTTCAGGTACACCAATCAAACGTAGATTTGGTCTTTTCACATAGTCCCATATTTCTTGGAGGCTTTGTTCGTTTCTTTTTACTTTAGAGTTTCTTTTCTGTTTCTTTTTACTTTGTTCGTTTCTTTTTACTTTAGAGTTTTTAGAGAAAAAACTCTAAACTTGTCTTCTTGCTTTATTTCATTAATTTGATCTTTAATCACTGATACCCTTCCTTCCACTTGATGGAATTGGCTATTGAAGCTTATGCATCCATCACAAAGTTCTCATGCCATGGTTTTCAGCTCCATCAGGTCATTTAAGGTCTTCCCTACACTCCTTATTCTAGTTAGCCATTCATCTAACCTTTTTTCAAGGTTTTTACCTTCTTTGTGATGGGTTAGAACATGTTCCTTTAGCTCAAAGAAGTTTATTATTACCAACCTTCTGAAGTCTATTTCTGTCAACTTGTCAAAGTCATTCTTTGTTCTGTTGCTGGCGAGGAGCTATGATCCTTTGGAGGAGAAGAGGTGCTCTGGTTTTTAGAATTTTCAGCTTTTCTGCTCTGGTTTCTCCCCATCTTTGTGGTTTTATCTACCTTTGGTCTTTCATGTTGGTGACCTACAGATGGTGTTTTGGTGTAGATGTCCTTTTTGTTGATGTTGATGCTATTCCTTTCTGTTTGTTAGTTTTCCTTCTAAGAGTCAGGTCCCTCAGCTTCAGGTCTGTTGGAGTTTGCTGGAGGTCCACTCCAGACCCTGTTTGCCTGGGTATCACCAGCAGAGGCTGCAGAACTGCAATTATTGCAGAACAGCAAATATTGGTGCCTGATCCTTCCTCTGGAAGCTTCATCCCAGAGGGGCACTCATCTGTATGAGGTGTCTGTCAGCTCCTACTGGGAGATGTCTTCCAGTTAGGCTACATGGGGGTCAGCGACCCACTTGAGGAGGCAGTCTGTCCATTCTCAGAGCTCAAGCACCATGCTGGGAGAGCCCCTGCTCTCTTCAGAGCTTTCAGACAGGGACGTTTAAGTCTGTGGAAGTCTGCTGTCTTTTGTTCAGCTATGCCCTGCCCCCAGGGGTGTAGTCTATAGAGGCAGTAGGCCTTGCTGAGCTGCAGTGGGCTCTGCCCAGTTCAAGCTTCCCTTGGCTACTTTTGTTTACCTACTCAAGCCTCAGCAATGGCAGACGCCCCTCCCCCAGCCAGGCTACAGCCTTGCAGGTCAATCTCAGACTGCTGCTAGCCAGTGAGCAAGGCTCCGTGGGCATGGGACCCACCAATCCAGGTATGAGAGGGAATCTCCTGGTCTGCCGGTTGCTAAGACCATGGGAAAAGCACAGTATTTGTGCGAGAGTGTCCCGTTTTTCCAGGTACAGTCTGTCATGGCTTCTCTTGGCTAGGAAAGGGAAATCCCCTGACCTCTTGCACTTCCCGGGTGAGGCGATGCCCAGCCCTGCTTTGCCTCGCCCTCCATGGGCTGCACCCACTATCCAACCAGTCCCAATGAGATGAACCAGGTACCTTAGTTGGAAATGCAGAAATCACCCGTCTTCTGCATTGATCATGCTGGGAGCTGCAGACAGAGCTGTTCCTATTCGGCCTTCTTGGAACGGAACTGCAAAATACTTTTTAAATGAAAGAGAATGCAAGCCACTTAATTATGTAATTCAGCTTGATCCTTTATGCTCTCAGTTTTCATGTTTTGAGTTTCCCATACTGGAGTGTGGTTATTAAATGTGTGTCCTACTTCTTTGGATGGTGCACTGGCTGAGTGTGTGAGTAAATTTTTTAGAATGACCTAGGTTCATAACCTAACTTGTTGATTCCTTGTTTTCTGGGTAACTGTAGACACATAAATTGAGTATTTTCATGCTGTAGTATTTCCACAATAAATGGTGGTGATATTTTTCACCTTTGGAAGTCAGTAAAGTTCTGGAAAATCCTTAGGTGAAATGACTTTAAATCAAAATAATATTTTACAACAATTATATGGCATTATGTTAGAATGAATGCATAATTGGAAACTCATCCAAGAAGCTGGTACGAGAACTATAAATATATTTGTGAAAATAAAGTGGTGAGATTTGGCTGCTTAGAAACAGAGGGCAAAGGTTTCTGTGAAACAGCATGTGCCCTTTATTCCCCAGGTGTTTGCTCTATCACAGTATCTATAACATAGTAAGAGCTTTATTCGGGTGCTTAGTCTGGTACCTGAAATGCATTAGTGAATGTTGAAAATCACATTGTCTTGACTTTTTCCTGTCGATGACCAAATTTTTTGCAAGCATTATCTCAGTATAGTTTTTAACAGTAAACCAATGTGTAGATTGTGACATAATTTCAGCCTCAATTCATCTTCACATAGGATCAGGTAAACAAATTATGTATTATAGTGGAAGTCAGACAGACCCAGGTTAGAAACTGAATTTGGCTATATTTACTTTCCTGTGTTTTCATGCAAAAATCAAACATCTTTGATCCCCATTTATAAAATGGAGATGAATTTACACATTTTATAGAGCTGTTGACTAAGGATTATGGATAATTTATGTAAATGTGTAGGAAACACTATAGGCACTCAGTATGTGATAGCTATGGCTCCACTACAAAATGTTTAGTATCAGTAGGGGTGTATGTGTGTGTTTGTCTGTGTGTATATGTACATTTAGTATATGTGTTAGTGAATCCTTTTCTTAGACAAGTCTTAAGCCCTTATACAGAAAGAAAAAAAAAACAAAATTAAGAGAACAGAGATTGGGTGAGGCTGGTAAAGGGAGAAAGGAGTCTTGTCTGGCCAGTGCTTGTCATGGCCCTCAGCAAGCTTCCATGGCCATCCCTGTTGCCCTTTACAGAGGTCTAGAGTTCTAGAGAACAGCATGGAAACCATGCTAGTGGATTTTAAACACCTCAAGTGCAAGAATGGAATCTTCTTTATTAACTGATATAGGTATCGC
Organism: Homo sapiens; assembly: GCF_000001405.40. Taxonomy (NCBI): domain Eukaryota; kingdom Metazoa; phylum Chordata; class Mammalia; order Primates; family Hominidae; genus Homo; species Homo sapiens. The sequence goes on from NC_000012.12 coordinate 27,121,780, forward strand.
ATGTGGTCTTGTGCTACAGTAGGTGATTGGCCACAGCTTGCTACTCCACTACTGAAGTTTTTGCTCCATATTTGACTACACAGCAGAGTTATCATTTGAAGGTGAATTAGGAAACCCACTAGCAAGCCTATGTCATTAATGGATGTAATGATAACTTTTTTTTCAGATCTGGGTTGGAATTTGCCCCTGACAAATAAGAAAATGATGAGTGATGCAAGTGACATATTGGCTGCGACGTTGGAGCAGATGGATGGTATCATAGCAGGTGATCTGCGTCCTGTGAAAGACAGAATCACAACATTTACTCTGCTCATTTGGCTTTTTCACTACAACTTTCATATTATCTTTTCACTTTATTTTCATTTTTTAGCCCTATGCCTTTTGCTTCCCTGTAATTTCATCTTTGTTCCTCTTCTCCATTTTCTACCAGCATTATTCTCAAACATTATTTTAAAATATCAAAAATTCCAGTTCCATCCTAGATTTCTAATCAAGGAAAAAGAATCTGCATCTCAGGTGATTCTGGTGTAGGTGGTCTGTGGACCACACTTTGAGGGACATTTCTCTACCCAGTGAACATGAATGTTCTGATCTGTTTTCTTGAATTCAAAATTCACTTTCCACCAATGACTCTCATGTCTGTTTTTTTTTTTTTTTAAGAGTGGAGGTCTTGCTCTGTTTCTCAAGCTGGAGTGCAGTGGCTATTTACAGGCATGATTGCCTGTGAATAACATGCATAGTGCAGCCTTGAAATGCTGTGCTCAAGCAATCTTCCCACCTCAAGTACCTGCAATTACAGGCACATGCCACTGCACCCAGCTTATTCACATTTATTTACCTTCCCAATTCTTTGCTAAGCTTCCAGTCCCTATCTCTAATTTCCAACCAGATATCTCTCTGGAAATGTCCTATAGGCACATCAATATAATCATTTAACACATTGAGCTCATTGTCTTTCCTTGGAATTTACTCTAATAGTCTTTATCTGAGTTCATTTCATAACCCTTCATCCACAGTTTTTCTAAGCCAGAATTTCCAGTATTGGTCCGGAATGGACCAGCTCTAATATTTGTATTTTCTGATCTGCCACTTTCTTATTCATGATCTCCACGAGGCCAGCACACCTCACACCAAAGCCCACCCGGCTCTTCTTCTTTCTATACCCCATGATTGGCCTCCTTGTTGGGAACTGGACCATGGATATTTACCATCAACTACATGGTTTTAATTTTTACACCACGTAAATCTGACTTGGAGAGATTTATGTGATTGAATTTTCTTTTTTCTGTTTCTTTTGATTGTTCCTTACTGTGACTAGACTGGTTTACCACCTTCAGCTTTGGTGTTTTATATAACATAAATCCCATTGCTTTCTCTGTGATTTTGTTTAACTTAGGTTCTAAGGCCCTGGAATATTCCAGTGGGATTTTTGGTTGCCAATCTCCCACCTCTCCATCCATGGGAAGTTTGTGAGCCCTGCACCTTGTGGAAGACCTGCGTGGATTATTAGAGATGATGGAAACAGATGAGAAAGAAGACTTGAGCTGCCAGTTCCCAGATTCAACAGTAGAAATGCTAATTGAATGGTTTCAAAGTCAAATGGTAGGTGTCTGCCTGTTACAAATTCTGTATTATGAATCTTTTGTTGCTTATTCCAAAATTTAGAACATAGAATAGCTGATTAGAACAAAAAAAAAGTATAGGGCAACAGATGTGCTCTATTTTATTCCTTAAGATATCTTAATTTTCTTTCGACTCTAAGAATAACTTTTTAAAAAGTGCTATTAGTGTACATTTTGTAAATACCAACAACAGGTCACCTGATTCTGCCCATAAAAACAGACTGGCTTTTAGATTGTGCCTGAATGACCTACTGTGGCTTAAATCAAATAGTCCTTTAAGGGAAAGAATCTTGCACATAATTGATGATTTCTCAGTCATATTGGGTTATTCACTATAAAGGACTCAATAGCAATGCTACATGGAAAGCATAATGAAAGACATTCAAAAGCCACAGGGGTTAAGTATTTGACCTGAAGTGCCATCTGGTGGTTTATTTCAATCATTTCAGTTCCAGTTCTTGAATTAAATTGGGGAATTGGGCCTTTAACCCATTTATGCGTAGTGTTCCATTATTGGAACGCTAAGCTTGTGGGAGTTATTTATATCCTACTGCTCAATGTCATCGCCCAGTTCTGATTTTTCACAAAAAAATTAGCAACCTCCAGCATAAATGGGTTAATGGTGTTACTCACTAAACAACGAGGCCTCTTTCTAGGCATCCTTCTCAAAAATTGATGATGTGGCAGAGCTACCCTTTGTCTCGATACAGTGGTAAATACCATGCTTTTAATCTGTGATGGACACATAAAATCTAAATAGTGTCACAAAAACAGATTCAGTGGAGGACAGAGGAAAGGAGATATTTTGTGCCTAAAGGATATTCAATTTTCAGTAAGATGCACTCATATGCTTATGAGTTAACTGTGTTTATATCAAAACTAATGAGAATCGTATGAAAGAATTGTGATCTACTTTTGGATCTGTGGTAGACATGAAAACTGCTTGCTTTGGGAACCTTAAGAGTACATCCTACAGCTAAAACATTTTCATATGATGTGACACAAATATTAGAGCTCCCAGCCAGTCCTGTGCTGAATACTCTGTGTTCCCACCTGGTTTACCTCTGCGTTTCTGAGAGCGAATAGTACAATCTATCCTTTAGTGGGGGTGCAGCTATACAAACTGGAGTTATTTTACTTGTTAAAACACATAATGCCTTACTATTATACTTTCTATTTGCTCTACAGATTTCTCCTCCAGAGACTTAAGGGTCCAGGTTTGCTGATTTCTTTAGGGATTGCTTCATGCTCTGTACTTGGTGTTTCCTGACATATTCCTTAGTCTATTTCAATGTCCTATCTCACCCCTTCTTTACTCCATGTTCTTCTGACCATTTAGCATGCAGTGAAAAAGGAATTTACTATTGTTAGAAGAACGTATTTCTATCCCACACCCAGAGGCCACCAATGGCAATAGTAGCCGAAGCGTACCTGTAGTTCAGCTTTTGACATGTGTCTAAAACATGTCCATTAACATGTGCTTAATCTGTTCTGTGAAAGTATTTTCAGAAATGATAAAAAGTAATGATGGTTACATCTGAATATAAGTTAGATCATGACACTCACTCCTTTTTTCAGAAACTACCAATGGCATCACATCTTACTCAGAGTAAAAACCACAGTGCTTACTGTGGGCTGCAAGGCCTCGTAGGATTTGCTCCCCATGACTTTCTGACTTCATCTCTTGTCACACATCTCCTTATTCGCTCCACGCCAAGCACAGTGGCTTTTTCACTGATTCTTAAACATGCCAGGTACACTGGCCTCAGAGCCTTTGCACTGGCTTTTCCAGGCACTGGCTTTTCACTCTGCCTGGAAAGCTCTGTCCCTAGATATTTGCATGGCTAGCTCCCTCACATTCTTCTGGTATTTACTCAAAAGTTGTGATCTCAGTTAGGCCTTGTATCACCACCCTAACTAAAATTATACCCATTTATTCTTTGTCTTACATCTCCCTGCTTTATTTTGTTCTTAGCATTCACCACTTTCTTATGTGCAATGTATTTGTAATGTTTATATCATTTATTTTCTGTCTTTTCAACTGGAATGTAAGCATCATGAATCCAATTTTTGCCATTATTTTTAAAAATTTACTGTATCCCTGGTGTTTAGAAGAATGCCTGGCTCAGTAGTTATATTTGTAATGAATGATGCTCCATGAATGATAAAGTGGATTGCATGTTTGAATGAATGGAAGTTGTTTTAAATTTATTCCTTGGATGGGTAATGGCTTGTTGATCTGTGTTTTCAGTTGCTTTCTCTCTTACTATTTGACATTTTAACTTTGAGAATCCACAAAATGACAGATATTTTACAGAACTAATGAAGATTCGGTTTTTATCCTAAAAGTAACAATAACAAAATAAACTAGATGTAGATCCAGAGAGATAAGGGACTTTTGTTGCTGTTGCTAAATTTATTTATATCTATCTAACTTATCTATATGAATTCCTCACCTTGACCCCAACCTTCCAAATTAAGTGTGTTTTCTCAAGCACACAGAGAATGACAGGATGAAAGAAGAAAAACAGCAAAAGGCAAAAAGAGCAGGACTGGCTGTTTGGAACCATAAAAGCATAGGTGTGAAATTGAGTTGTCACCACACACCTACCACGATAGACTTTATTTTAGAACCAAAAAGGAATTTGGGCCAGCATTGGGAATCCAACAAGTAGAAGATTATATGCTTATAATTTAGTGATTTGCTGATAATATTAGATTTTTCCAATTTAATATTTCAGAAGTTGGGCTGTGTTTTATGATCTTAAAATGGGGATGTGTATACATTTTAGCTCAGATCCATCCTCCCTTCCTCTCTCCCTTCTTTCCTTTTTTTATTAATAAGATACTTAGAATAGTCAAATTTTAGAGACAGAAAATAGATTGGTAGCTGCCAGGAGCTGAGGGGAGCAGGGAATGGGAAGATAATACTTATTGTGCATAGAATTTCAGTTTTGCAAGATGAAAAGAGTTATTTACATGGACGATGGTGATGGCTGCAAAACAATGTAAATGTGCTTACTACCACTGAACTATACACTTTAAAATGGTTAAGATGGTTAATTTTACATATATATTTTACCACAATAAAAAATTAAAGTTGATGGCGTCTTAGAATTTAAGGAACACAGAATCCTAGCAAATTCCCCCTTCATATTGAACATGGGAAAACTGCCCAAATAAAAGAGATTATGATGTTTTAAAAAAGAAAGCAGTGAATGATAAGGCAGGATTATATCTATGCAGTTTCAAATGCAGGCTGTAGTGACAGCAGACCTGAATTTTAACGTTGGCCCTAACTCTTCAAAGCTTGTATGACCTTGTGAAAATGTCTGAAGCTCTGTGTCTTGGTTTTCTCATCTGTAAAATGGGGATGATTGTTACTGCCACTTAGTATTGTAAGGATCCTATGAACTAATGTATGCTGAGGGCTTATGAATACACCTGGAAAAAAGGCTAGTCAGAGAGGTAATACTGAAGAGTAGAGTGTAGAGAATAGAGGGAAAATGTTTAACAGCATCCCTTTGCAATGAGGGAAAGAGAATTAGGTCCAGTTACAAGGGGAATAAAGTTACAAACTACCCATACATAGTTCACTTCTTGTGACAAAAGAGTGCAAACGTTTCTCAGACTGAAGAGAAGCTTCTGGAATATTTTAGAAAAACTTAAATTCAAAAATTTTTGGAAATAATTATGTATCTGTTAATAATAACAGATATATAATTATGGTTCCATTCATGTTTAATGATGGCCAACTTGAGAGGCCCTGTACTTTAAGATGGATACTAACCTTTTCATTAGTGCAACTGGGCATTTGCAGTTCAAATTATCATTTTGCCTGGGCCGGGGAGATCCCCTGGTTTCTTCTAGGATGCAGGTTATTTCTTTACTACTAATTGCTCCTGCCTGTTTGTTTCATATGATCAGACACTGAATGAGATAAAATACCAACACTAGTAGCCTGTTACAGTGAAGGGACATTAAATCTATAAGAATGAATTTATTAGTGTAGCTCTAGGCTTCTGGAAATGAACAAATTTCTTTTAAAATTCAGAAGTGTGTCTCCTGTGGTTAAAAAAAACTGTAGACTATGACATATTTGTTTAATTACTGAGGCTGAATTTTCTGTTTTGATTGTGAGATATTATAATGTGTGAACACAGATATTAAAAATGGAGAATTATTTGCTTTATGAAGCTCTAGATGTAAGAAGGCAAATGTAAAAATATGTCTAATTGTTTGAGTTAAGCAAGTAGTTATTTACTTTAGGTCTAACTTGATGAGTTGCCCTAGAACATTCTTATAATTTTTTTTAACTGAGGATCATGACCTTGATCCATGTCAGCAGGGGATCAGGTAGTGAAATCCCGAAAGTGTCTGACTATTTGGCAGTTTTAATTATGAGGCCATCTCAAAGTCAGCAGAAATTACAAGAATACAATTTTCAAAAAAGTGAGTGAAATACTAATGGTGAATACTAATGGTAGTAACGCCAAAGCAGGCATCATCACCTATGAGATAGATAGAGTGTAAACAGGGGAAATGAGATGTTCTGGACTGGCTTCTGACCTGTTAAATCATCATAATATACTTCTCTCTTATTTTTACATTAAAAGTTAGATAATATTAATCCCAAATGTATATTTTTAAAAGTTACCATAAAAATAAAAATACTCATAACTTAAAAGAGTTCAGCCACGGGACATGCTCTCTGCAGGGGTGCTGGCTGTTCTCCCTGCGTCCCCGACTCCCAGTCCCATGAAGCAGTCCCCGTCCTACCACCCTCCGATCCCTGCTGCTTTCTGACCAGCTTTGCTTTTCATCTGTGCCTCCAGGAAATATTTTCTCAGGCCTTGGCAAACCAGGTACATCTTAAGATTGTATCCAGTATGTGATCACAATTATCTTGAATTATGCAGTGCCTCACTGAGACATCCTAGCTAAAATTAAGGCAGTTTTCCCCTTAGTCTTCAAGTAAACTCCCATGGAAAATATTCACAGACACAGAAAAACAAATTGACCAAATCGGCAGAATTCTTAGTTTACAGAGGTAAAAGATGAGCTTTTCATGGAATCCTAGGCCACTGGTATTTGTTAGGATTGAATGGAAAGAGGTTTCCCTGTTCCTTTAGGAAAGTGAGTTAAGAAAGAAAAAGTGACAAGAACAATAGGGACTTTTTCTTGGTCTCATGTTATCCTTCCCAAAGTAGAAGACAGATTCCTTCTCTAGATCTTTGTATCCTGTCACACATTGCTGGCTTTCAACAAATGTTGAATAAATGAGTGAATGAAGATATTGAGTGAATGAAGTTGCTGCTGTACTGGGATAGGAGCTGGGGCTTCGCTTCTAGGGACACTGGGACCTTCTTTTTTCTCTGTCCTCCCCAAATTCAGGGGACTTAGGTGTGTACCTATGACTAGGGTAATATTATAGTCTAAACATGTACTCCCCGCTTGCCCACTGCGAAGCTCATGCCCTCATTCCACCACACCCAGTGAGAGGACAGGGGAGCGGAGTACTGCCACTGCCTGGTTGCTTGGTTTCCAGCATCACTGATGTCAAGTTCTTTTACTCTTCGGACGGTAGTGGTGTAAGATGCCTTATTATGGTATTGAACTCAAATGCAATATGACTGTGCTCTTCATGGCTGAAGGATTCAAGTCTTATCTCAATCTCTCCTCATAGTTTAGAGTCTAGTGGAGAGCAGGCATGCAGGAAATGTTTGCATGCGTGGCAGAGGTATAATTCTGAGTACAAAATGCTGTCATAGTAATTATTTCTTTTGGTAACTAGAGATAATGCTTACTTAAAGGAGATTTCGTGGACTGAGCCTTACTTTTCCTTTCTTGATACTGAATGTTTAAAAACAGGATTATGAAATCAAAACTGTGTGATACTTTTAATAACTAGTTTTAAAAATAAGTATAATAATGACTGGCTGGAATGTGATGTGTGCATGTATTTGTGTATATGTAGTATTACTAATCCAGCTATGTTTTAATTTTTGTTGTCCTTAAAAAGAGGGCTGTTTTCTTTTCCCCATTTTAATTTAGGTACTTACCATTCTGAATTGGGAATCTTGCACTCAAAATTACCTTCTGTTTTATAAAATAAATAAGCATGATAGTGGCAAATCATTGCTTGTATGTTGATTTTGGATTTAGACAGGACAGCAGAGCTCAGGAAAGAACAAAGCGAAACAAAGGGGAAACAGGAAAGACAACTGTAGACCAATGCAAACCAATAGAACCCAGAAAATCAAAGGAAAACACAGCATGATGTTATAAGTAAAAGCAGCAGGTGAGACTCCTACCTTCCGTAAATTAATAACTATTGAAATGGAGTGGCGTGTACATGGGGTTTCATTGTGCTCATTTCTCTACTTTAAATCTATTTGAAATTTTCTGTAATAAAAAACTTTTAAAACATACACAAAGGAAAGATGTTAACATTTATTACATCTTTATGCTTGATTGTAATACTTGATAATTAAAAGGAAGTTGATATAAAAATAAGGCTTTCCACTTAGATGGTGAAGGGAAAAGCAGATGGTATTCTGATGTTATGTGTAGCACCTGCCATGTAGAATCAGGGAATTCATTTTCCAGGTGAGGTTCCTGGCTAGCTCTAAGATTCTGTAATTCTATGACAGATAAAGCTTTTTAGATGTGCTTCTCCCTATCATGCCAGGAAAACCTGGCAGAGGCCATAAGTTCCTTAATTAAATCAAAGTACCAATGTTATAGTTGAGTTAGATCTCCCTCCCTGATTCTGCATACACACTATTGGTTGGATACTGTACTGTTGAAATCCCCACGTTGATTCCAATTTCGACTTAGCTGAATTGAATGTGGTCAATAAAAGGTCGCACCATGAGCTAAAGTAGATAGGTAAAGTGACTTTGGCTGCTCTTCCATGCTTTGAAAGTCAGATTGACTCAACAAGAGTTTATACTTAAATACATTTTAAATTACATGCTCAGGATTTTATAAGCACCATGGAAGAATCAAAAGAAACGTAAGACAGTTTTGCACTGAGAAACTTAGGCTGAGTGACCAACTCACATAAAATTATTAGTCATCTACCTGAGGCAGAATATGATGGAAACACTAAAGAACACAGTTTAAGACAAGACCCAGAAGGTCAGCCCGTAGATGGGGAAAGGAGAATGGCACCATGTAAAGAGGAGGAGGTAGAAATGGGTTATGAAAGACGGATTGATCTGAGAGGGAGGAGTGGGAGGTGAGTGGAGTGTTGGGTACAAAACCTTGGGATAGTTGTTGTAAAGGAAAGTGGAAGAAAGCTCATTAAAAGGAAGAAATGGAAAATGATAAGTAGAAGTGGTGATTACAGGTCCCAGCAAAACAGGAAATCAAGGTTCCAAAGTAGAAGTGGAATGATGAGCTTTCAGGAAGGAGTTAAGAATCAGTTCTCCCAAGCCTGCAGGACCAAAGAAAGGAAAGAAATAAGAGGTAATATATATTATACTATTACGCACTGAGGAAGAAAGTGTCTAAGGGAGCTCACACGAGATGGCCTTAACTATTGTCCATTACAAAGGCTCTGAGATCAGGCGGTCGGTTAGCTCGGTTGGTTAGAGCGTGGTGCTGACAAAGGCTCTGAGATCACCTCCTAAACATAGTGGGAAGAGAGAGTACAGGAGGAAAAAGGAGCCAGTCTAGATAGAGGTCAACCATGGCGTGCATACCAGATTATAGAGGACACATAAATAAAGACCCACTGAGAAGCAAGAAGGGCAGATCAAAACCAAACCTGCAGTCATCTTGTATTCAACTAGTGTTTATTGAACACCTATCGTCATTCTTCCATTCAACAGACATTTAGTTATCGCCCACTGTATGTCACATGCCAAGGCAAATCTACTTGCAAAGAATGCAGAGTCTATTAGAAGAGAGAGACATGTATGCAGTCAAGTCTAACCTTAGTGCATTCAGAGTAATGCCTGCTGTAATGAAGGTTCATGTAGATACTGTCGCTGGCATATAGCAAACAGTGAGTTCAAGGAAGACTTCACAGACCAAGCCCTGATAGAGGTGGACCTTAAGGAATGGGGAAAGAAGAAGAAAGGGTGGGAAAAGACGGTCCGTGCAGAAGGAATAAAAGTAGTGTGTGAAAGAGCATGCCATATATGGGGAGGTTTTGAGTGACCTGGTAGGTAGAACGTGGGAGTTGAAGGAAGAATAGAGACAATAGGGTATTTACCTAATGGATCTTACTGCCAACATTCTTAATGCAAAGGAAACAAAATTGGCAGAAATATAAACACAGGTGGACAGAACAGTCTTTACCTACTTAAGTTAACACAAGGATATAACATTGATCACTCTTAAATTCTGCCTTATGTTCCTATAGTGACTTTTAATATACTAAACTACCCTTGAGCATTATGAGTGCTTGTAAATATCAATACAGTACTGAGAAAAATAAATATGCTAATTTTGAGCCAATTTTCAGTATCTGTTTCTATTTGGGGCTAATTTTGGAGAACTGGTTTTGGAACACCTCACTTCCATATCATACAAAGTAGCTTGGGAGGAAACACTGCTCTCCTCTTGCTATAATTTCCTCCAACCAGAAGAAAGATCAGTTTTGTTTTGTTTTGTTTTTCTTAAGATAAGTTCTTGCTTTGTTGCCCAACCTGGAGTGCAGTGGCGCAAACATGGCTTACTGTAGCCTCCACCTCCTGGGCTCAAGTGATCCTCCTCCCTCAGTCTCCAGAGTAACTAGGACCACAGGCGCACACCACGATGCTTGGCGGTTTTTTGGTTTTTTTTGTTTGTTTGTTTGTTTGTTTGTTTTAGATGGAGTCTCACTCTGTCGCCCAGGCTGGAGTGAAGTGGCGCGATCTCGGGTCACTGCACATGCTTGGCTGTTTTTTATTTATTTATTTATTTATTTATTTATTTATTTATTTTAGTGACAGGGTCTCACCATGTTGCCTATGCTGGTCCCGAACTTCTGGGCTCAAGCAATCCTCAGCCTCCCAAAGTGCTGGAATTACAGGCGTGCACCACCACGCTTGGCCAATTTTGCTTTTTGTCCTCACTGAACAGCAGTTTTTTTTTTCCTACTTACTGAAATGTGTCTGTTTCTAAAATATTATTACTTGTATGGGATTTTAAAAACAGATGCCTGTTTTTTTCTGGTTCTAAATTTGAAGGTATTATTTTCTTTTTCAATTGAACCCTGGGTGGCCCTATCTAACACTTTTGGATTTCAACTGGCTTTTATTTCTATTGTATTTGAATGAAGAATCAGGAAATTCTATTGGGATTACATATTTTATGGTTATGTTGAGATTATGAGAGATACCACCTACACTACTGCATATATTTCAAAATGATGTTTTTAGGTTTTCTGTTCTTTGTGAGCCTCTTCATGTGTCTCTTTCATGACTTGCATATGAGACAGCTGAGGAAGAAACAATCAGTCTATACTTCCTTTGGCATTTATACCATGCATAAATATGCCCAAATATGATTTTTTTTTTAAAAAAAGGGTGTGGGGCATGAGGGAGGGGAAGAAATAGTAAGCATCAATATATACAGAGCACTGATCCAGATGCTGGGGAGATTACAAAACAATTTATAGGCTCTGCCCTGGAATAGAAGGTAACATTATATGAACAAGCAAACTCATAAGAAGTTAATAAGATCAGGACAGAAAGTGTTAAAAGGCAGATAAGTGAGGCTAGTCTGCACTACCAGGGGAAGTCACTGTGGCCTGAGTGTTTAAGCTTTTGGAGGAAGAGAGACAGACCTCAACAGCTTGGGGGGCCCCCTACACACTCACAAAGCTTTGCCTGCCCCAGGTGTGTGTCTGCTCTCAGTGAAGAATACAAGTAGCCACTGTTCCTTGTGGGTCATTATTTTCTGCTTGTTAATAAATGTTTAGTTTGGCAAAAACATGCTTATATGCTTAACATGCCTGTCTTACTTCTTTTGTGGTAAATGAACCAAATTGCATTCTTGTATTTTCTGTTTGACAGTGACAGCTGTGCAGATTCAATTCAGGCCCCTTGGACTAAGGACACTTGTGATTTTCATTTATCTACAATATATCATTCTTAGAGAAGATCAGCCTTACCCATATTATTTCCTTTTTCAGACAAATGGACACCTACCTGGGAACGGAGATGTGTATCAAGAAAGGCTGTCACTTTTAGAAAATGATAAAGAATCCCTCCTTCTTCAGGCAAGTGATTTTTAAATATTATTCTTTCCTTGCTGCATACAAAGAGTGTTTTAAATTAGGGTGACAAATTCAGATTGCTTGCAACCTGCCTGCTAATAGAAACCAGTTCTATTAGCAACCAGACTGCTAATAGAAACCAGTTCTATTAGCAACCAGACTGCTAATAGAAATAAGCATGGTAAGCCATCTGTAACCAATAGGGAGTAGTGAGGACTGGGGCAAAATGATGGTTTGTACACCCAGTTTAGAAGGAGCTGCCATTAATCAACCCCAGCTCTTCTGGGACCAGTCTGAATACAGATGCAATGTCATCTGATCTCACGTGCCATCTGATCTGATCTATTTTTTTTTTTTTTGGAGGCGAGGTCTTCTTACATTGCCCAGGCTAGTCTTGAACTCCTAGGCTCAAGCAATCTTCCTACCTCAGTCACCTAAGTAACTGGGATTACAGGCGTGTAGCACTACACTTGGCTGGATCTGACTTTAAAATATATTTTAATATATATCAGAAATTTAGACATATGAATATAGCATAAAATCTGCATATATGTAAGTTTATATTTCTAAATCTGAAATCTGAGTAAATATATTTAATTTTTCAGTTTTAAAAATGATACCCTGTGTGAGACAAAACAAAACAGTGACTAGAACCCTCCTTGTGGGCTAAATTTGAGTTTGCTTCTTCATGATGTTTTAAATGCTTCACAAACATTTTTCTTTGGTATATTGAGCAAAATGAATTGAAGCATATTTACTGGGTGATGATTATGGAGGAAAAACTCAAAGATCTGCTATAAGCACTAGAATTGAAAGACTAGCCCAAGAGCTCCTCATGCACCTTTGAGTATATTGAGTTGCTCCCTGGCTTTGAACGCATCTGTGATCAGTTTAAAGTCATAAATATAAAGTCATCTTCAAAGAGCTCATGGAACTTGAATTCCTTGAGTTCTTTTCCTTATTCTTCTTGAAGTATCGAATTTGAATAGCTCTTGGTAATTTCTATTTGAAACATTAACTTCCTTTCCTCTCTTCTAATACTATCTCCACCCTGCCCGCAAAAAAGATGTGCACACTCTCTCTCATAAATGGTTGAAATGGCTTTAACCAAAAAGTATTGTACATTACTAGTCTACACAAATTTTCTCCAAAATTGTATAGGACTCCCTAAATCAAAAAGCAACATATAAATAGGAATGCGAGGGACCACTGTCTTCTTGGTACTTCTCAGATTTTTTTTTCTTTACAATCGTATGAGTGGTAGGATTATTCCTTTTTTTGTTCCATTTAGAGAAATAATGTATGCAGTTGGACCCAAATTCTTTTTCACTCATTGCAGTATTTTATTCTAAATACAGCTAAGCATGTTAACAGACCAGGTGGAGGATGAGGGAGAGAAGATTAGAGATTTGGAGTTTTGTCTTGAAGAGCACAGAGAGAAGGTGAATGCCACAGAAGAAATGCTGCAGCAGGTATGTGCAGACGCCATATCCAAGATGGGATTTCCCTGCTGAACTATTTGAGATGCTGCATTTCTATGTTGTGTTTGCTCTGATGCAGCAGTAAGTTTCTTGATTCACTTAGACCAGCACATTTAAAAAAAAAAATTGAGAGTAGTAGAGTCTCAAAACACATGCACACAATATAAAGTGTTTATGTAATTAGAATCTGGAACAAAATGTCAATAGGATTGTGGCTTATTTTTATTTTCTTTCTTTGCATTCAGATGGTTTCCTAACTCTCACCTATAAGCATATGTTTTGTGATTAAGAAAAAAAGATAATAGTAAAAAATCTAAGAATCCGATTTAAAAATGGGCGAAAGATTTGAATAGACATTTCTCAAAAGAAGACATACAAATGGCAAATAGACATATGAAAAGGTGCTCAGCATCATTGATCATCAGAGAAATGCAAATCAAAACGACAACAAGATACTATCTCACCCCAGCTAAAATTGCTTTTATCCAAAAGACAGGCAGTAACAAATGCTGGCAAGGATGTGGAGAAAAGGGAACCCTTGTACACTGTTGGTGGGAATGTAAATTCATACAACTACTTTGGAGAACAGTTTGGAGGTTCCTCAAAAAACTGAAAATAGAGCTACCATATGATCCAGCAATGCCACTGCTGGATATATACCCAAAGGAAAGGAAATCAGTATATCGAAGAAATATCTGTGCTCTCGTGTTTACTGCAGCTCTGTTCACAGCCACCAAGATTTGGAAGGAACCTAAATGTCCATCAACAAATAACTGGATAAAGAAAATGTGGTACTTATACACAATGGAGTACTATTCAGCTATAAAAAAGCATGAGATTCAGTTATTTGCAACAACATGAATGGAACTGGAGGTCATTATGTGTGAAATAAGCCAAGCACAAAAAAACAAACACCTCATGTTCTCATTTGTGGGATCTAAAAATAAAACAATTGAGCTCACGGAAATAGTGGAAGGATGGTTACCAGAGGCTGGGCAGAGTAGTGAGGGATGAAGGAAGAGGTGGAGGATGGTGGAGGGGTACAAAATAATAGTTTGAATAAGGCCTAGTATTTAGTAGCACATCAGGGTGACTATAGTTAATAATAATCTAATTGTATATTTGAAAATAGGAATATAACTGGATTGTTTGTAACACAAAGGATAAATGCTTGAGAAAATGGAGACCCCGTTTTCCATGATGTGATTATCACATACTGTATACCTGTATCGAAACATCTCATGTACCCCATAAATAGATATACCTACTATGTACCCACAAAATTAAAAATTAGAAAAGAAAAAAACAGAAAAAAGATAAGCACCATCTATAACACAAAGGACAGGCTCCGTAAGGTTGTGGATGGGGTATGCACTGGAGCAAAACTTTGTAGGTTTCCATTCCTGCCGTGCCTTTTTTTTTTCCCTCTATGACATTAGGCAAGTTCCTAACCTCTCCATTACTAAGTTTCCTCATCTTTTGATTAAGGATAGTAAGAATTTCTAACTGATAAGATTTTTGTGAGGATTGAAACAGTATGTCACAACGGTTGCCTGGCATACAGCAAACATAGTATCATCATCATAATCAATGTTATCACCAGACTGAAGTATATATATATGGTTTATGCATGTGTATCTACATAACATGTCTCCCTAAGTAAACTGACATGTGTTTATTTCTGCTCAAAGGAGAGTAACTAAAGTGAATGATTTTTTATTTATTTATTTTTTATTATACTTTAAGTTTTAGGGTATATGTGCACAACATACAGATTTGTTACATATGTATACATGTGCCATGTTGGTGTGCTGCACCCATTAACTCATCATTTAACATTAGGTATATCTCCTAATGCTATCCCTCCCCCCACCCCTCACCCCACAACAGGCCCAGTGTGTGATGTTCCCCTTCCTGTGTCCATGTATTCTCATTATTCAATTCCCACCTATGAGTGAGAACATGCGGTGTTTGGTTTTTTGTCCTTGCCATAGTATGCTGAGAATGATGGTTTCCAGCTTCATCCATGTCCCTACAAAGGACATGAACTCATCATTTTTTATGGCTGCATAGTATTCCATGGTGTATATGTGCCACATTTTCTTAATCCAGCCTATTGTTGGACATTTGGGTTGGTTCCAAGTCTCTGCTATTGTCAATAGTGCTGCAGTAAACATACGCATGCATGTGTCTTTATAGCAGCATGTTTTATAATCCTTTGGGTATATACCCAGTAATGGGATGGCTGGGTCAAATGGTATTTCTAGTTCTAGGTCCCTGAGGAATCGCCACACTGACTTCCACAATGGTTGAACTAGTTTACAGTCCCACCAACAGGGTTAAAGTGTTCCTATTTCTCAACATCCTCTCCAGCACCTGTTGTTTCCTGACTTTTTAATGATCGCCATTCTAACTGGTATGAGATGGTATCTCATTGTGGTTTTGATTTGCATTTCTCTAATGGCCAGTGATGATGAGCATTTTTCCATGTGTCTTTTGGCTGCATAAGTGTCTTCTTTTGAGAAGTGTCTGTTCATATCCTTCGCCCACTTTTTGATGGGGTTGTTTTTTTTCTTGTAAATTTGTCTGAGTTCATTGTAGATTCTGGACATCAGCCCTTTGTCAGATGAGTAGATTGCAAAAATTTTTTCCCATTCTGTAGGTTGCCTGTTCACTCTGATGGTAGTTTCTTTTGCTGTGCAGAAGCTCTTTAGTTTAATTAGATCCCATTTGTCAATTTTGGCTTTTGTTGCCATTGCTTTTGGTGTTTTAGACATGAAGTCCTTGCCCATGCCTGTGTCCTGAATGGTAATGCCTAGGTTTTCTTCTAGGGTTTTTATGGTTTTAGGTCTAACATTTAAGTCTTTAATCCATCTTGGATTAATTTTTATATAAGGTGTAAGGAAGGGATCCAGTTTCAGCTTTCTACATATGGCTAGCCAGTTTTCCCAGCACCATTTATTAAATAGGGAATCCTTTCCCCATTTCTTGTTTTTGTCAGTTTTGTCAAAGATCAGAGAGTTGTAGATATGTGGCATTATTTCTGAGGGCTCTGTTCTGTTCCATTGACCTATGTCTCTGTTTTGGTACCAGTTACCATGCTGTTTTGGTTACTGTAGCCTTGTAGTATAGTTTGAAGTCAGGTAGTGTGATCCCTCCAGCTTTGTTCTTTTGGCTTAGGATTGACTTGGCAATGAGGGCTCTTTTTTGGTTCCATAAGAACTTTAGTTTTTTTCCAATTCTGTGAAGAAAGTCATTGGTAGCTTGATGGGGATGGCATTGAATCTGTAAATTACCTTGGGCAGTATGGCCATTTTCATGATATTGATTCTTCCTACCCATGAGCATGGAGTGTTCTTCCATTTGTTTGTATCCTCTTTTATTTCATTGAGCAGTGGTTTCTAGTTCTCCTTGAAGAGGTCCTTCACATCCCTTGTAAGTTGGATTCCTAGGTATTTTATTCTCTTTGAAGCAATTGTGAATGGGAGTTCACTCATGATTTGGCTCTCTGTTTGTCTGTTATTGGTGTATAAGAATGCTTGTGATTTTTGCACATTGATTTTGTATCCTGAGACGTTGCTGAAGTTGCCTATCAGCTTAAGGAGATTTTGGGCTGAGACGATGGGGTTTTCTAGATATACAATCATGTCATCTGCAAACAGGGACAATTTGACTTCCCGTTTTCCTAATTGAATACCCTTTATTTCCTTCTCCTGCCTTATTGCCCTGGCCAGAACTTCCAACAGTATGTTGAATAGGAGTGGTGAGAGAGGGCATCCCTGTCTTGTGCCAGTTTTCAAAGGGAATGCTTCCAGTTTTTGCCCATTCAGTATGATATTGGCTGTGGGTTTGTCATAGATAGCTCTTATTATTTTGAGATATGTCCATCAATACCTAATTTATTGAGAGTTTTTAGCATGAAGGGTTTTTGAATTTTGTCAAAGGCCTTTTCTGCATCTATTGAGATAATCATGTGGTTTTTGTCTTTGATTCTGTTTATATGCTGGATTACGTTTATTGATTTGCATATGTTGAACCAGCCTTGCATCCCAGGGATGAAGCCCACTTGATCATGGTGGATAAGCTTTTTGGTGTGCTGCTGGATTCGGTTTGCCAGTATTTTATTGAGGATTTTTGCATCGATGTTCATCAGGGATATTGGTCTAAAATTCTCTTTTTTTGTTGTGTCTCTGCCAGGCTTTGGTATCAGGATGATGCTGGCCTCATAAAATGAGTTAGGGAGGATTCCCCCTTCTTCTATTGATTGGAATAGTTTCAGAAGGAATGGTACCAGCTCCTCCTTGTACCTCTGGTAGAATTCGGCTGTGAATCCATCTGGTCCTGGAGTTTTTTTGGTTGGTAAGCTATTAATTATTGCCTCAATTTCAGAGCCTGTTATTGGTCTATTCATTTTGTTTTACCTTATTTTTGAGATGGAGTCTCATTTGTTGACCAGGCTGGAGTGCAGTGGCGTGATTTCGGCTCACTGTAACCTCCGCCTCCTGGGTTCAAGCAATTCTCCTGCCTCAGCCCCTCGAGTAGCTGGGACTACAGGCACCTGCCACTACACTAGCTAATTTTTGTATGTTTAGTAGAAATGAGGTTTCATCATACTGTCCAGGCTTGTCTCAAACTCCTGACCTTAAGTGATCCGCCCGCCTCAGCCTCCCAAAGTGCTGGGATTACAGGCGTGAGCCACCGCGCACGGCCTAAAGTGAATAATTTTTAAAAAGTATGTATATTCAGTAATTATACTTTAATGCGTCCTCTACTTGATAGGTGCTGCTTTGTGCTATCATAAATGAGGTAAATTCACATGTGGCTGTTTATAATAAAAGAATTATTGAATGTATCTTTTAAATTCCAATAGGAGCTTCTAAGTAGGGCATCCTTAGAAACTCAGAAGTTGGATCTGATGGCTGAAATATCTAACTTGAAGTTGAAACTGACAGCTGTAGAGAAGGACAGATTGGATTATGAAGATAAGTTCAGAGACACAGAGGTGTGTGACACAGTCTCTCCTCTCTCTCTCTCTCTCTGTCACTCTGTCTCTCATAGACGTACATTCCTAGGGCAAAGTCGAAATTCTCTGGAGGTGTGCAAGGAAGGCGGTTAATTACTACGTGCCCTCATCCTACTTCATTTTAAGAATAATCTTTGATTATATTGACTTTTTATCACAAAATGCTAATGACAATTTTTATTTTTAGACTTTTGATATGAAATATTAATCATTTTATCAACCTTTAGAAATACTTTTGACTTTAGGATATTTGGAGCATCCATCCATTCATACTAGTTTTCTTAATTTTGTAAATAATGGGCTTAAATGCATGGTTTTGCTAGTAGTTATTATTTAAGCACACTGATTATTTACTATGTAATTGGATTTTTGAAATCTGTATAGAAAGCATGCTTACATTATATAAACACAAAACAACAGAGCCTTTTTGAGGTCATCTAATTTGGCCTTCTACTTTTGGTCTATTCCACATGTAAATCATTCCAATTAAATAAGACTCACTGTACTTCTACGAAACTCAGGGTACATTCTATAACTTGAAGTATCCATTTTAGTGGCTAAACAAGCTTTATTGTTTGTTCTCTCTATTTTATTAATCCAGGCCTTCTAGTTTGTTTGCTGTGTGACATTTGGCAAGTTCTTAACCTCTCTGTTTTTTTTTTTTTTTTTTTTTTTGGTGGATGGAGAGAGCATATCCGTTTGAAATCTACTCATTTGAAATGATGTGTAAAGAGTTGCAGAAATTCCTCTCTCTGAGGGCCATCTCCCCTCCTTTTTTCTATTTTGTTTCTTTGGTTGGAGTATGGAAAGGTGTCATGCTGGATTAGAAAATGGGTACCAAGGAGAGAGGAGAGAAAATGGTTTATTTATTTTTCCCTTCTGTTTTTATTTCAAACATGTATTTTATGCTGACTATATGCCAGCATGGTACCGGGCATTACATACATTATCTACTACAGGAAAATCCTTTATAGACCTGGAAATAACAAGGTTTACTCCATTGCTATTTTCAAAATTAAATTTTCTGTCAAAGATTCAATCACAGTGGAAAGTCTTGGTATATGTCTTGCTTCCTCAGTAGCAAAAGGAGATCTGTCATTTGGTTCATGTTTTATTTAATTTTTTTAGAGATAGGATCTTACTGTGTTGCCCAGGCTAGTATGGAACTCCTGGCCTCAAGCAATTCTCCCATTTTGGCCTCCCAAAGCACTGGGATTATAGGCATGAGTCACCATGCCCAGCCATGTTTTAATCTTAAAACTCTTTGTCAGTTGCCTATGTGAGCATGTTTCTCATTTTATTGAAGCTGGGGCTCTTAAACAAGACTTAGAAAGTTACTCAGTTTAAAATTCTTGCTTTTGTATTTTCTCTAAAAATCTCTTTTGATATTTTTCTCTTTCCCCTCTTTTTGTGAGGTCCTTACCCCATAGTTGCTAGGTAAGGTAACAGTAAAACTCAGTCAACAGATGGACAACATGGCAGTGGAGCTAGCTCTGCTGCAGGGAAGAATTGATGGTAGATATGGATAGAGGTAGTGTTCTACATTGTGTCTGCAAAGTCAAGGGGAAATATTCACCTGTTGTTAGCTTAATTTGGATATGAGATGCTAACCAAATGTTGGGACTGAATTGCAGTAGATGTGTTATTTATTTATTTTTGTAAGACCCCAGGGCAATATTTACATCCCTTGAGTTCAGCTGCCTTTTTTATCAAACTTTTTTTTCCCCACTTTTTCGTTTCACTCATACACTCTTAATCACATACAAAGTGATTTTGTTATTAAACTTCCAGTACACTCAATCCCTGATAATCTTCTAATAAAAATTCAGTGCTATTGCTAAAATATACACATGTAGCCAGAGATTAGAGCATATGGGGTAAACTTTGTGACGTTGCATATGAAAATAATTAAAATAACATTCACTATTAAACTAACTTGAATATTCTCATGTTCCTGTTATCGTTCCCTTAATAAAAATATTTTCCTGAGTGTTTCATGAGTCCATAATATTTAACTTTCTCTTAGAAGTTTAGATTATTTGGATATTAATATCCAATAAAATATTGGCATGGGGAAGAAGTATGGGCATTTCCAAGGGACTGAGCACTGGAAGATTCAGGACTTGGCTTGTCCCCGTACTTGCTAATGGGAGATGGTCAGCATCATTCAACAGTGCCCCCTTCTGGTAAGAGCACACATGTCAGAGACTGAGTTCCTGCGGGAGCCCTGAGGAGTTCTCTGAAAGGGAAAAGGGAAAGGGAACAGGGATTTTCTTTCTTAAAAGGACTGAACTTCTGATAAGAACTTATTGAAATAATTTGTATTCTGTTTTTTAAAGTTTTACATTAGAAAGCTATTTCCAGATTTTCCAGCTTGTGTTGTCAGGGGAAGATATGATTTCGGGTTGGAAATGTAGACCATATTTAAAGTATTGTCATGAAATATAGTGGAGTAGTTTTTGTTAAAACAGATAACTTATCCCAGTTTATAATTCCATTTTTTTCAATTGTTTCTTCTTTGCACATTGCCACTATTTCTAAAGGAAGTAGTAAAAACAGCAATAGCAGACAGGAGGAATTCACTGCTATTTCTTAACAATGAGAAAGTGGGAAAATATATATTTAAAAAGATCATATTGATGAATATCACTAAGGACTAAGGACTTATATTATGCAAGGATGATTAGTTAACTGGGAAAAGGTGATTTTTTTTCTTTGAACTTGAATTCTGACCTGTTAGATGAGGAATCACAAATGTTATTGAATAATGTCAAACAGTTCTTGACCTAATTCATAAGAAGAAAATATATATTATCTAATTGAAATATTGTATGATTATTAAGTGACTCTTAAGGAGTAATCGTATAATTATGATAGGTAATATTTTGCCCATTTTATAAGAGACAACAATTTAAAAGCCTGTGGGTTTACTGGGAAGTGTATTTCATTATAGCATCCCTTCTCTTAGCCTTTGTGAACTTGAATCATTATATTTGGAAGTTTAAAATAATCCCTATTCACAAACTTTTATTTCTTATAACATTATTCTACTTGTAATTTTTGGCATTCTTGGATAATTTTGTCCTGTAATCTATGAATTTGTGACCCAGGAATACATGCATGTCTTTGTAAAAAGAGAGAAGCTGGCTGGGCACAGTGGCTCACACCTGTAATCCCAACACTTAGGGAGTCCGAGGAGGGCGGGTCACTCGAGGTCAGGAGTTCAAGACAAGCCTGGTCAACATGGTGAAACCCTTGTCTCTACTAAAAATAGAAAAACTAGCTGGGTGTGGTGGTGGGTGCCTGTAATCCCAGTTCCTGTGAAGGCTGAGACAGGAGAGTATCTTGAACCTGGGAGGCGGGGGTTGCAGTAAGCTCAGATGGCGGCACTGCACTCCAGCCTGGGTGACAGAGCAAGACTCCATCTTAAAAAAAAAAGAGGGAGAGAGAAGCAAAAATATAGTAACCATTGTAGGGATCTTTGTGGCTTGTAGTAAAAATAAGTCATCTCCCACGCAGGGTATTTGAGTGTCTCTTTTGGAGGAGTTAATATTGCTTAACACTCTTAATTTCCTTTCCTACTCTCTGGGCTCTGGACAAAAATACACCATTATTTCTCAGAATACTTGGACAAGTTTTATGAGCAAATTGGTTCTTTAAAAAGTGACACTAAATAAAATAAAAAATGGTAGTAGAAAAGATGTAAAATCATGTTGTGTCATGTAAACATTAGGATTGGTTTCTCTTTCATTTTCGAATTATAAAATTAGATGAACTGCAGGGCCCTCATCCACTTTCCAGTTGAAAATTGTCATTACAGTAAACTCAATCCCTGATAATCTCCTAATAAAAATTCAACAGTATTGCTAAAATGTATGCACATACCCCAAAATTAGAGAATAGTTGAGAAACTTTGTGATGTTATATATGACAACAATTAAAATAGTCCTCAAAATTAAAACTGATTTGACTATTCTCATGTTCCTGTTATCATTCACTTAATAAAAATAAAATATTTCCCTGGCTATTTCATGAATCTTAAGGATTCATGGGCTTAAAGGATTTAATTTTCATTTCATTCTCCCATATTGAGTTGATGAGCAATCCATATTTTTGTGGACAAAGGAAGAAATTACAAATTTAAAAAAAATACCCATGTATCACTGAGAAGTTTCAAAAGGTAAATGGCTTTACTAAAGAATGTGATATATTTAAAATACGAAATAGCATTCTATAAAATAGAATAGAAATAGCACTCTATGAAATAGCATTCATAGAGTCATTTTTAGGATAGAAATATCTGACAAATAATAGATATTAAGCTACCTTTCTTAAAATTACAGTCACCTTTTATTTTCATAAGCCCATCACTTTAGGGCAGACGCATTGGGGATTTAAACGAATGTTTTTGTTTGTTTGTTTGTTTTTTGACAGAGTCTTGCTCCTTTGTCAGGCTGGAGTGCAGTGGCGCAATCTCGGCTCACTGCAACCTCTGCCTCCCAGGTTCAAGCGATTCTCCTGCTTCAGCCTCCCGAATAGCTGGGACTACGGGTGTGTGCCACCACGCCCGGCTAATTTTTTGTATTTTAGTAGAGACGGGGTTTCACCATGTTGGCCAGGATGGTCTTGATCTCCTGACCTAGTGATTCACCAACCTCAGCCTCCCAAAGTGCTGCGATTACAGGCATGAGCCACCGCGCCCAGCCAATGCTTTAGTTGTTAGGAAGGTGGATTTATTTCCATTTATCTCATCTGATTCATTCAACTTTAACTCTAGGAGCTGGTGACTTAAGATTTCCAAGCTGCTATTTTATAGGTATAGGTAACCGTGTTACCACTTTCCTAATGCACTTTCTTGTTTCTTCTTGGACAGGGGCTGATTCAGGAGATCAATGATTTGAGGTTAAAAGTTAGTGAAATGGGCAGTGAGAGACTTCAGTATGAAAAAAAGCATGAATCAACCAAAGTAAGTTTTTCTCACAGGTTAACATTTTCAAACAAATGGCTCCACTATTCATCTATGCCTAATAATATAAATAACATGTTTTCTACTTAGTATATGATAAAGAAGGTATTTTAAAAGTAAATGAAGTTCCCCCCACGCTGGAAGCCTTCTTGAATTTAAACACCACTGATCTGAATTTAAAAACAAGGCTTAACTCATCCGACAGAACATAACCTGCCCTTTCTCTGAGTTGTATCTAACCTCCTTTATAAACTGATACTGTTTTCTCGGTTATTTAGCTTGTCTTTTTCTATCTGTAGTTTTCTTTCACTCCTCTGTCTCTCTGCCAGTCTTTAGTGGCCAAACTTTCTAGCATGAAAATCAAGGTGGGTCAGATGCAGTATGAAGAGCAGCAGATGGAACAAAAATGGGAGTCACTGAAGGTGTAGTAGACGTTGGGTGATGGGGTCCATGGCCTGTTGCTTTCTGGCTTGTGTTGTTTTGCTGTGATGATGTTTTTAGTGGCATGTGCATTCATTCTGTGTGTGTCACCTGTTGATTAAAAATCACCTCAAGCTGATTGAAGGAACAATGGGATCCCTGATGTTGTTTTCAGAAATACATGAAATAATTAGTGAAAAATAATAAACGTAAAATGAAAGAATTTATAAATTACACTCTCTTAGACTGAGACCCAAGCCTAGTAAAATAATTGTAAACATTAGCTTGTGAAAGAATTCTGTTTCATATCCACAGTAGAGGTCATTTTCCTTTTTAGGGACTTTCTTGATGGTAAATGTACAGCAGTTGATATTATCATGACTGTGAATAGAAATGACTGCTGAGAAGCAGCACGGTGAGAACAGGTTCACACTTCCTGCCAGTGCTACTGAAGACTTTTTGTACTTGTCCACTCTGCTCCTACTAGAAGTCAAAACTATAGGGCCAAGTGCCTCACTTCATTGGAGAACTACATCTTCTCATAGTACTAAATGTAATAAATATATCTTTAGAGATTCTGAAAGTAAAATGTGATGTTGAATATAAAGCTGTACTTCTTAGCATTGCATAGCTGTATTTTCTGTGTTAAGTACAGCCAGCAAAATTTGTTTGCTAAAGCTAATTCTTTACTGAAAGGAAACTGAAAATTTAAACATGAGTACATAGAAGGATGGACTTGAAATCTTATATACAGTTTTATAGTTAAAAATTAAAAGAGGGCTTCACTGTTTTCTAAATTTATTTTTCCCATTGTTGTAGGAGATTCTGTCCTTTTATCTTAGTGATGTGGGTGAATTATTTAGTTCCCTGATTTGGCTAAAGTTGTTCATGACTTGCTACCTTACCCATGAATGAAACTCTGTGCTTGTCAAGGAAGCATGAGTGCCAACTTGAAATGCCAAATAAATGTCAAGCTAGTCTTTTCCAATTTGCATTTTATTTTGCTTTTATGACACTAAGTATCTAATTTTCTAATTTGATTATCTTCCTTGATTAACTTGGTCATATTTTTAAATTTGATGTAAGATTTAAACCTTAGGGCTATCCTATCCCTAATTACTCTTTAAAAGATCTCTTTTTAATTTGATTACAAAGAAACTTGAAATAATTATACAATAACTATTATAAATGGGACTTCTGCTTATAATCCTTTTTTTTTTTTTTTTTTTTTTTTTTTTTTGAGACGGAATCTCACTCTGTCACCCAAGCTGGAGTGCAGTGATGCAACCTTGGCTTACTGCAACCTCCACCTCCTGGGTTCAAGCAATTCCCCTGCCTCTGCCTCCGGAGTAGGTGGAATTGCAGGTGCACGTCGCCACTCCAGATGATTTTTTGTATTTTTAGTAAAGTTGGAGTTTCACCATGTTGGCCAGGCTGGTCTTGAACTCTTGATCTCAAGTGATCTGCCCGCCTTGGCCTCCCAAAGTGCTGGGATTACAGGCATGGGCCACCATGCCTGGCCTTCTGATAGTCTTGTTTCCTGCTTTTTATTGCCCTTGTCTGATTTCTGATGCTTGCATGTAAATTTTGGGGGTTTTGTTTTGTTTTTGTTTTTGTTTTTGTTTTTTGAGACGGAGTCTCCCTCTGTTATCCAGGCTGGAGTGCAGTGGCGCAATCTTGGCTTACTTCAACCTCTGCCTCCCGATTCAAGCGATTCTCCTGCCTCAGCCTCAGGAGTAGCTGGGATTACAGATGTGCCCTATCACGCCCGGCTAGTTTTTCGTATTTTTAGCAGAGATGGGGTTTCATCATGTTGGCCAGGCTGGTCTCAAACTCCTGACCTCAAGTGATCCGTCCACCTTGGCCTCCCACAATGCTAGGATTACAGGCGTGAGCCATCACGCCCAGCCGCGTCTAAATTCTTGTAGATTTGTTTCATTCACAAAATCTGATTGTTGATTTAAAGAGCTAATATGCTCTCTTAATGTTCCTTTTCAGTCATGATCTGCTATTTTTAAATGAATTTGTAACTTGTAGGATGAACTGACATCTTTAAAAGAACAACTAGAAGAAAAGGAATCTGAAGTAAAAAGGCTACAAGAAAAATTGATTTGCAAGATGAAAGGAGAAGGGGTTGAAATTGTTGATAGAGGTAAGAAGATATATTTCACATTTATCATCTCATTTTGTTAAAGTCCTCCAAAATCTGTAAAAGAAACCAGTGATAGTCAATGTGTAGTTTTAGTATCAAAGAAAGAGCAGCAGAATCCAGCCAGGCCCAGAACCACAGGGGATTCTCTAAGACTCTTTTCTGTGACTGGAAATCCATTAACTTCCTCTTCAGCAGCTGGAAAAGGGGAATTCTATACTTTATTTGGTGTTTAAGATTACTAGACTGTAAATTCTCATCACAAGAATGGACTTGTCTCAATTGAAATGCAAGGGAATTTATGCCAAAGGAGTTAAAAAGAACCATCCCTGTGTCCCGGGATCGTTGCCCTCAGAACTGAAATTAGATAAAGTAAGGGACTTTGAAACTGTTCTGTCCTTTTGAGAGAAGAGAAAAATGGCTCTGTATCTTTGGAAAAATTAGTAAAAATTTTATACCAGGGATTGAGCCCTACACCTTTTAGAAAGCAAAAATAGGCTAATTCTGTTTTTGGAAAAATGCATGAATTTATCCAGTTTTTTTCATAACTGAAGAAGTTTGTTCTGAGTATTATATGGACCATCATTTCTAATAAAGTAGGTTTTACATGATAGAAAATAGCCTGAATGAAATTTTTTAAAATTATATTTGGAAATATAATGTGCATAACATCTGGCGACACTAAGGTAAATTTAACCTTTCTTTGTAATTATGAATGATGACTGGCACTATGAGATACCAGCCATGTTCTGAGCAAGAACATGTGAAGGATAGGCTAGCATTCTGGAAAAGATGCCATAATGTTGATGAAGTCAGCAGAACTAGACAGCAGAACTTTATGATGATCAGTTTACTCTTTCTTCCCAACTTCTCTAGCAAGGATTGTCTTCAATCTGGAAATGACAGAACAATCACCCTTTAAAATAAGGAAGTGCAATTCAGTGAAGACAGGTAAGATAGTAAGAGAGCATTTAGTTACATTTTAAAATGAAATCATTAATTTGAAAGGGTCATATATACCCATGGTAAGAATGTAAGCCAGAGCTGGCAGCATCTCTGTCCTACAGAGAAATCCTGTCCCTGGAGTAGGATTGAATGAAGCCAAGAAACTGAAAAAATTGCAGATGGGGCAAAGAAAGAGTCCTGGAGACTCAAGTCCATTAGATTGCAGGACCATTCGTGCCCTTTTAGATTTTTTTTTTTTTTCTCAACTGAGTTCCAATTGAGTTTTTTCTTTTAGTAAAAATGCCTGAAAAAAATAGTAAATTTATAGATGAGAATTCTTATGCTCAGAGGGGTAAAGCAACTCACCCAGGTTACAGGCAGGAAGCAGCAGAGCCAGGTTTCTAAGTGAGGTTTCTCTGAGCCACAAACGTGTTTCTCTTTCCATTTTTCCTCTATTGATCAGTAGTTTTCTATGAATCTGTTGTCTAATGAAAAGTACCTAGGTCCTCTAGGAGAATCCTCCTACTGTTATTGTTTCTAATTATCTGTTCATCTTTCAGTTAGAAGAACATCCATTCTTATATTGATGTCTTGTGGCAGAATGTGAATTTCTGCCTACAGTGCCCACAATGGCATCAAACCTATTATTATGTTCAGGTCAAGATTCAAACTCACAAAACTACCATAGACCTCTTTGGCATCAGATTCACTCAGAGAAACATGGGACAGGGCTGGGCGTGGTGGCTCGTACCTGTAATCCTAGCACTTTGGGAGGTCATGGAGGGCAGCTCACTTGAGGTTAGGAGTTCGAGACCAGCCTAACCAACACTGTGAATTTTTGTAAAAATACAAAAATCAGCTGTGCATAGTGGCAGGTGCCTGTAATTCCAGCTATCGGGGGCTGAGGTGGGAAGATCGTTTGAATCTGGGAGGTGGAGATTGCAGTGAGCCGAGATCGTGCCACTGCACTCCAGCCTTGGTGACAGAGTGAGACTGTCTCAAGACAAAAAAAAAAAAAAAGAAGAAGAAAGAAAGAAAGAAAAGAAAAACGAAAACATGAGACAGGAACCACAATTAACTACAGGTGGTGTCAGGTGTCCCTCCAAATTATGCAGCTGCCCAGAGACAACTCAAATGCATGAAGGTGTGATGCATATGAGGCAAGTGCAGGAACCACCCTGAATTAAGGTCTCATTCCCTACAGGAGCCAATATCACCTGTAACAAACTTCAGATGTGTCATTTCTGGCATCACTACACATACTCAATTAAAACAGTCAGCACATTCAAGGATGCTAGAAGCTACAATCTCCATCAGATATTTATGGTGCATTTATAGTTCCTCCCACTCCAGATGCAATTTCCAATCAGAGATCCTTTTTATTATAAGCAATGTTGCTGAGTAATACTGTTAACATAGTACTCTAATCTGGTTCTAGGGGAACAGAACTAGAATGTTAACTAAAGCTAAAATTCATACACAGCAGAGAAAAGATTTTGTTAACTCTTAACCCAAAATGCCCCACTGATAGCAGGTTTGGCTATATGGTTTGCTTTAACCAAGGGAATGCAAGAGGAGGTGACTTACACCACCTCCAAGCAGAAGGCTTGTGAGCCATTGCATGATTCCACTCTTATTCCTTTCCCTCTGCTGTGAGACAAGGGTAGGGGCAATACCTTCAGCTTAGGTCTCCAATGAAATGAAAAAGATATTTGGGGAAGAGCCATAGAACAAAGGTGTAATGGATCCTCAGTTGTTATGAAACCTCCAAGAGAGAGAAACATTAATTGCTGTAAGCCATCACTAGTCAGAGGACTGGTGTTTACTGCAGAATAACCTATTTCTGATTAGTACATCCCTTTTGGAAAGATATAGGCTGGGTTTATCATTCTCCTACCAGGAGTCCAACTAAGCCAGCTAGCCCTTCAGTATGTGACAGCCTTAATTCTGGCAAGAATCCCCAATTCGAGTCTGATGGAAAGTTGTTTCCTCTTATCGAGCAGTTTTGATGTTAGAACAGTCCAAGTAATGCCTGAAGAAAAATAATGTATATAGATTATGATGATTTATTGCTCTAATTTGTCTTCTCCTTTGTGTACTCAGGGTTCAGTCAAGAGACAGGAACTATGCAGAGTTACCTGAATACATATAATTTTTATTTTTTATATTTATTTATTGAGACAGAGTCTCATGTACTCTGTGGCCCAGGCTGGAGTGCAGTGGTGTGATCTTGGCTGACTACAATCTCTGCCTCTTGGGTTCAAGCAATTCTTCTGCCTCAGCCTCCAGAGTAGTTGGTACTACAGGCGCCCACCACCATGCCCAGCTAATTTTTGTATTTTTAGTAGAGATGGGGTTTTGCCATGTTGGCCAGGCTGGTCTGGAACCCCTGACCTCATGTGATTGGCCCACCTCAGCCTCCCAAAGTGTTGAGATTACAGGCGTGAGCCACTGCGCCCAACCAATAAATATAATTTAATATAAAGAATTGTCAACAGGCCAGACACTTGAACCCAGGGTGGGGAGGGTGGAGGTTGCAGTGAGCTGAGATTGAGCCACTGCACTCCATGCACTCCAGCCTGGGTGACAGAGTGAGACTGTCTTAAAAAAAAAAAAAAAGAATTGTCAATGAAATATAAAATTGTCAACCTGGTAACCAAAAAGGTGAAAAGAAAAATCTAAGATGTTACAGAGGTAGCAACTGCAGGGAACTCTTAATCGCCTCTAGGTCTGAGGGAACAAAAGTAAGAGGCTGGAATTCTTAAAATGTAGAAACTTAGAGGAGCAGCGGCATGAAGCTGAAACTCAGACATCTGAGGAGAAAGGTACTGCTCAGTTGGTGGTGTTGTCTCTGAGTTTGGAGGCAGTGTCTCTTGGAGCTGGGATCTGTCTCTGAAGAGGGGTTTGGTGCTGGTGTCTCTTGGTGGGGAGGTGGGGTGCAGTCCAGTTATTTCTGCAGGTGGTAGGGAAACTGAAAACTGGATCCAACTGCTGCTATGGTGAAGCAGAGTTAATAGGGTGCCAGTAGCAAGAACCACAAGCAAACAGGAAGCTCACAGGATGAAGTGTGTCCCTCCTTCCTCTTCCCACATTTCAGTCTCCCTCTAGCCCCCCTATCATCAGAGCTTAACAGAGAGCCAGCTAGCAAAGCTGAAATGGGGTGTGGAGAGACCCAGCAAACCTCACTGATCAGTGCACGGGGGCACCTGGCTAAGGCGTGAGTGAGGGCTGTGGTTCAACCTGTGCTCTCCTTGTCAAGCGCTAAGTCCTTGTGTGGGGCTATGTCAGCCAGGAGGAAGAGGCATCTTTTTCAAATTCACACAGAGGTGTCATGTAGGCTAGCATATGCACTGATGCAAGGATCATTAATAGTCTTCCTTCCATCTTCTAAATAGCTCTGAAGAGCATGTATCTTTTTTTTTTTTTTGATCCAGGGTCTCACTTTGTCACCCAGGCTGGAGTGCAGTGGTGCAATCATAGCTCACTGTAGCCTTGGCCTCCTGGACTCAAGCCATCCTCCCACCTCAGCCTCCTATATTCGGGAGCTGGGATCTCAGGCATGCACCACTATGCCCAGCTAATTTTTGTATTTTTTGTAGAGATGATGTCTCACTATGTTGCCCAGGCTGGTCTCAAGCTCCTGGGCTCAAGCCATCCACCTGCCTCAACATCCTAAAGTTCTGGAATTGCATGCGTGAGCTACCGAGCCTGGCTGAAAAGCATGTATTTTTATTGTAATATTCCAGACAAACTTACATGCAACCTTTTGCAATTTCATATATAGCCCTCCCTTATGTACCATCAAATATTTATACAGATTTGTTTGAATTGGTTTCTGCATTCTTCCACCGATTCTCTTGCTACTGGCACCGCGGGTGCCGTTTTTTATATGCAGTGTAGGTTTAGTTCTCTCCTTTCTCATATTCTGGACTTCCAACTATGCAACCATAATAAGTCTTTACTGCTTCCACTGGCCTCTTTCTTATTTTTCCTTCCGTTGTCTTCACTAGAGTTGTGTTAGGAAGCAACTTTGCTCTTGGTCCTTGTCCCTTAGGCAGCCTTAACATATTCTACAAAATGTTCAACATTTTCACTAATGATCTATATGAAGGCTTTGAAGAGATTATTTTTAAGTTTGTTGATGACACAAAAATAGGAGGGTTAGCTAAAATGAGATTCCTAATGATCTCCACAGACTGAAATGCTGTGTTGATAGCAAAAATATGAAATTTATGAGATAAGGGAAAAAGCCAGTAGAATTTAAAATAAAGATAAAAATTAGAGTAAAATAACTGAAATAAGACAAACCTCTATTTTTTTAACATAGTACCAATATGATTTATGTGATAGTTTTAGAAAAGAATCATGCCATTTTTGTAATAGCCACACAATAGCTACTCAGGGTTTACAGAATTTGATATTTGACAAAAATTTGAATCAAATAATAATCCAGAAATAGGCCAGGGGCGGTGGCTCATGCCTGTAATCCCAGCACTTTGGGAGGCCGAGGCCAGCAGATCACTTGAGGTCAGGAGTTCAAGACTAGCCTGGTGAACATGGCGAAACCTCATCTCTACTAAAAATACAAAAATTAGCTGGGCATGGTGGCGTGCCTGTAATTCCAGCTACTCGGGAGGCTGAGGCAGGAGAACTGCTTGAACCCAGGAGGCGGAGGTTGCGGTGAGCCAAGATCATGCCATTGCACTCCAGCCTGGGATGATAGAGCAAGGCTCCATCTCAAAAAAAAAAAAAAAAAATCCGTAAATAGATCATTAATTATAACCAAGAAAAAAGTGCTGTCATTTTTGCTTACTCAACTACTTCATGAAAATCCTGAGAAAACCCAGTAAATTATATAAAAATATAGTTATATGTAGGTATACAACAAAATATTAATGGTGGTTATCTCTGGTTCAGGATTGGTAAGTTTTTATTGTATTTTACTATTGAAAATCTTATTTTCTCTATAGGACATGTATTTGCTTTGTAATAAGAATAAACTTTAAAAAAATAAAAAGAGGCTTGGCACAGTGGCTCACGCCTATAATCTCAGCACTTTGGGAGGCCAAGGTTGGAGGATTGCTTGAGACCAAGAGTTCAAGACCAGCCTTAGGGACAAAACGAGACCCCATCCATACAAAAATTTTAAAAATTATCTGGGCATGAGGCATACACCTGTAATTCCAGGTGTTCAGAAGGCTGAGTCAGGAGGATTGCTTGAGCCCAGAAGTTCAAGGCTGCAGTGAGCTATGATTTGCACCACTGCACTCCAATCTGAGCGACAGTGAGACCCTGTTTCAAAATAAATAAAAGCAACAGATAAAAGCAACCAAGTAAAAAGGGATCAAATATATTTGGAGTTCTAGGGAAAGTCTGATATAAAAGTATTTTCTGGCTGGGCATGTGGCTCACACCCATAATCCCAGCACCTTGGGAGGCTAAGGCGGGCAGATCACTTGAGCTTAGGAGTTCAAGACCAGCCTGGGCAACATGGTGAAATCCCATCTCTACAAAAAATACAAAAAATTAGCCGGTTATGGTGGTGTGTGACTGTGGACCCAGCTACTCGGGAGGCTAAGGTGGGAGGATCGCCTAAGCCTGGGAGGTGGAGGCTGCAGTGAGCTGAGATCACACCACTGCACTCCAGCATGGGTGACAGAGTGAGACCCTGTCTCAAAAAATAAATTAAAAGTATCTTCTTCACAATGATTTTAAAATAGTACTAAAGCAACAAGTAGAAATAAAAATTATCTAAGTTGTTCCATTTAATGAAACATAAGTGAGTAGTAATTTGATATATAGTTACAGATTTCCAAAGAGGGTGAAAAAGAATAAATTGGAATCTGTAATAGCAATATTGTGGAATAGATTTGCAAATAAGAATCAATGAAACATCTTTTTATATAGAAAATATTTGAAAAAGATAATTTATTTGACAGAGAAACAAAATGGCGAAAAAATGCTGAGAATTTTTTTCACTCTTTTTCTTACTTAGATACATGGAAACAGCCAGGTAACAAAAAAGTACTCTGTATAATGCTTCGATGAGATATGCTAACCATTTTCTATGAGAAAAGAAGAAACACTTTTGGTCAGAAAATGGGTTCAGATGAAATTTTGTTCTGCTCACCTTTAGAATTAATAGTGTGGTTGGCTTCCTGCAATGTTTTTATGAAAGGAAATTAAATCTTAGGCTCAGCCTCATTTTGGTTCTTGATGCCTTGTTTTGTTTGCCCAGGGAAGCTCTCCCTGTCCCCTACTCTAAGTGAGGGTCCACTCTCTGAGACTGTTCTTTTTTTCAGAACATGAACCTCAGTTCATAATTCTGCCTCCGCTAATGTGATCATTTGATTCATACCTGAGTACCTCATTTGCCTATCAGCTCCATAAGTGTGTGAGCTGTGCCTGTTCATGCTCACCATACGTGGTATCCCTAGAGCCTAACCCAGTCACTGAAACATCGTAGGCACTCCATAAGTATTTGTGAATCAATACATAAATGGATGAATTAAAAATTTAAAAGTAAATAATTGGAATGGATTATGGAGACAGTAGAAAAAACTTAGTTAACTTTTTAGGTACTGTGAGAGAATATCTTTAAAATGTTTCTTGTGGATTTAGCAGAAGATAAAAGGGCAATAAATTTAAGGGGAACTGCATATGAGAAAGAATATGAAAAACTACCAATCTTCCAGAAAAAAAAAATCTGGTAATTTCCTTACATAGAGTAAAAGAGTTTTAGTACTTTCTATTCTGAGTTCTATTTGAATATTTTTCTCTTTTTATATGGTATAAGAGGGCTGTTTTCTTGAGTAAAATATTTTATTAACCTAATATCGTTGGTTAATCAAATGTCTTCATAGTGTAAGATTTGAAATAGAAAGCCACGTTGAGTCTTTCAATACATAGAGAAGCTAGATTACAAGAGAAAGAGGCTTTGCCTCACTTTTTTCTTTTTTTTAACCTCCTTGTAGTTTTCTGGGCTGTCTTTACAGATTTTTGGTTCATAGATTTTCTAAGTAAGATTTTTGACATATTATATATCTTTTATTCAATACTTCTAATAAGAAGAAAAAGATACCCTTTCCTCACCGTCTTACAACTTTGAAAAAAATACTGTAAGATTTCCACTGTGGTGTGAAAAGTTTTATTCACTCTAGAAAACTGGGTCATCTTCTTTTCAGAACCTTTTTTTCTAAATCTGAGAACAGATTTAAGGAAAGCAAAGCAGAAAGTTTTCAATAATCCAGTGGGAATTCCTCTTAGAAGCAAGAGAGCTAGAGAAGATGATTGCACAGACTTAGCAAGGTTAAAACGGGTATTTCTAATACGTGAAAAATGTGTGAGTTAGAAGGTTAACAGTTGATTCGACAAGTGGCAGAAATGGGTTTTTTTCAGTTCTGTTGGGGAACAAAAATCAGACGACATCCCTCAAATCTGTACATTTTAAACATATCAAATTATTAGTTTCCTGTTGTACTGTATTTTGGCTCTTAGGTTTATGATTCTTAGTATGAGAGAGGAAGGATAATCTTCAACATAGTTAAAAAAAGAAAAAAAAGGAGGAACACGCAAATATTTTGCTTAAGCCTGAGATGAGATTGGAAGAAACCAACAAGTCCGTTTGAGGATAAATAAAGTCACACTTGAAGAAGGGCAAAAATCAGAAGTGACCTAATAAAATCTCCCTAATAACAGTAATGGTAAGGTGATATTATATATAACTTTTCTCTCTGGCTCCTGGAAAATTTATCCAATCTAAGTAGTTATCTATCTTGCCTCACAAATAATCCCTTAAAACTTTTTATTTCTGTTACTTGCTAGATTCAAAAAACATAATTAAAAATTATTTTATCTGTAAAATATCTACCTCAGTTCTCAAATTTAGTATAATGAGTTGTTTTAAAAGTCAGATTACATAAGACAAACCAACACTACACTACTTCTCCACAACTAATGTACGATAAAAATGAGAACAAATGATTAAAATATATAAGCTGATAAATGCAAAATTGTTTAAAATACCTTTTATATCTTATGATATCTAAGGCAATGGGTTAAAATAGCTCTTCCTTGATAACTTTGAGGTTAATGAAAATTGTGATTATATTTAATTAGAGGAATTCAGTATATTTCTTCATTTTCCTTAGAGATTTCCATGGAAAGAAAATAAATTTCCACGATCATAAATTTATGTTTTTATTAAAATTCTTAATTTCTTTTTATTTATAAATCACAAATGTTCTTGGAGACAATTTAGAAGATCTAGATTTAAAAAAAAAAAAAAAGAAGAAGAAAATAAAAACCACTCATCATTTCATCACCCAAAATAACACTGGGAGCATTCTGGTATCTATCTGTTTAGACTTTTCTTTTGCCTTCTTCTATAATACATATTGTTTCAATAAAAATTAAATCATAATGTACATTATTTTATGTAACCTGCTTTTTCCACTTAAACACATATTGAAAATAAATTTGTATTTTACTTTTTAAAATTAAATAATATTTAACAATTTGTTTATTGTTGGACATCTAGATTGTTTATAATCTATAATGAAGATACTTATTATTATTATTTTATTTATTTATTTTTGGAAACGGAGTTTTGCTCTGTCGCCCAGGCTGGAGTGCAGTGGCATGATTTTGGCTCATTGCAACCTCCATATCTCGGGTTCAAGCAATTCTCCTGCCTCAGCCTTCCTAGTTGCTGGGACTACAGGTGCACACCACCAAGTCTGGCTAATTTTTGTATTTTTAGTAGAGACAGGGTTTCACCATGTTGGCCAGACTGGTCTCAAACTCCTGGCCTCAAGTGATGTGCCCATCTAGGCCTCTCAAAGTGCTAGGATTACAGGTGTGAGCCACCACACCCAGCCTGAAGATACTTATTACATATGTTATTTATATAAACAGCATTAAAAATCACGAACAGTTTTTTTCACTAAATTTATGGGATATAAATCCTTCTGATTTTGGAGAGAAAAAGCAAGTCAGGATTAGACTTAGGTAAAATTTAATTTAGCAACATTTATGTAGTAATTCCTGCCAAGCACTATTCTAACCCCTTTAGAAATATTAACTTATTTAATCCTAATAACTCTCAGAGATATGTATTGTTCCTATTCCTATTTTACGATGGGAAAATGAGGCACAGAGAGTTTAGGCAACTTGCTCATTGTCATTGTCATAGGTAGTAAGGGGTAGAGCTAGTCTTGCATCAGGCTCATACTCTTAACCATTCCCTTACAAGGCCTCTTTCTGTTATTTTGGGTAATCTGTGAAGTGGGGTTTGTGAAGTTAATTGGGAAGCCTGGGGAGTACCTCAGAAAGATAACTTGATAGGCATTAGGAAGGATTTTGATATTAAAGGAACCTAGAACTTCTCCGTAGATCAGGAACAGAACACTTGGCTTATTTTATTAGAATCAAAAACAGAAAATCATATCTGAGGATTGGTATCCTTCTCTTTTCAAATCTTTTGTGATTTTCTAATGCAGCATTCCAAAATATAATGATTGTGCAGAATGTCATTTTTAAACTTTCTTCTATCATTTTCCTGTAAAGAAAATCTACTGAATATAATTCATTTAATGAGAAAAAAATTATAAACTGCATTTACAGTGATGTACTCTCTTAAATGTTTGCCCAAAAGTTTACTATTTAGGCTTGAATAGAGTTAATCCTAAGAAATCCTGTGCTCATATAGAAGCAACGACATAATACTGTTTGTTTTCCATCAAAGTCAGTGAATATAAAGATTAACTTAAAAGCAGCTGTCCTAAAAGCAACCTCAAAATACGCAGTTAAAACCAGCGGAAGACCTGGCCCACTGTTACAATGAAACATGCTCGGAGGAACTAAAGAAAGCTCCAAGTACAAAACTCTTTAGAAGTCTCCGGGGTTGCATGGCAGGCCTATTTACAAGAGGGATTAGTTGTTTTGAGGAAGAACAAAGGCCCCTTCTTATGCTCACTGAGGCTGCTCTTCTGTGGGAAATTTTGCTGTTACAGTTACAGGGACTGGAGTTCTCAACACTGTTTAAAACAAGCAGCACTATCGAAGGAACATACCTCAAAATAGTAAGAGCCATCCATGACAGACCTGCCGCCAATATCATTCTGAGTGGGCAAAAGCCGGAAGCATTCCTCTTAAGAACTGGAACAAGACAAAAATGCCCACTCTCACCTCTCCTATTCAACATAGTACTGGAAGTCCTAGCCAGAGCAATCAAACAAGAGAAAGAAATAAAAGGCATCCAAATAGGAAAAGAAGTCAAACTATCTGTCTTCCCTGACGATATGATTCTATACCTAGAAAACCCTGAAGACTCTACCAAAAGGCTCCTGGAACTGATAAACAACTTCAGTAAAGTTGTTTGGATACAAAACCAATGTACAAAATCAGTAGCATTTTTATACACCAGTAATGTTCAAGCCAAATCAAAAATGCAATCCCATTTACAATAGCCACAAAAAATAAAATACCTAGGGATACAGCTTTAACCAAGGAGGTGAAAAATCTCTAGGAGAACTACAAAACACTGCTGAAAGAACTCAGAGATGACACAAACAAATGGAAAAACATTTCTTGCTCATGAATTGGAAGAATCAATATTGTTAAAATGGCCATATTGCCCAAATCAGTCTACAGAGTCAACACTATTCCTATCAAACTACCAACGTCATTTTTCAAAGAATTAGAAAAAAACTATTCTAAAATTCACATGGAACCAAAAAAGATCCTGAATCGCCAAAGCAATCCTAAGCAAAAAGAACAAAGCCAGAGGCGTCACATTACCTGACTTCAAATTATTCTATAAGGCTGCAGTAACCAAAACAGCATGGCACTGGTACAAAAACAGACACACAGACCAATGGAACAGAATAGGGAACCCAGAAATAAAATCATACACCTATAACCAATTGATCTTTGACAAAGCTGACAAAAAGAAGCAATGGGGAAAGGACTCCCTTTAATAATGATGCTAGGATAACTGGCTAGTCATATGCAGAAGAATAAAACTAGATCCGTACCTGTCACCATGTATAAAAATTAAGACTGATCAAATATTTAAATGTAAGAACTCAAACTATAAAAACCCCAGAAAAAAAATCTAGGAAATACCATTCTGGACATCAGCCTGGGCAAGGAATTTATGGCTAAGACCTCAAAAGCAATCACAAAACCAAAAATTGACAAGTGGGACCTAATTAAACTAAAGAGCTTCTGCCCAACAAAAGAAACTATCAACAGAGTAAACAGACAACCTACAGAAATGGGAGAAAGTTTTCACAAACTATGCATCAAACAAAGGTCTAATATCCAGAATCTATAAGGAACTTAAACATGTCAACAAGCAAAAAAACAACTCCATTAAAAAATGAGCAAAGGACATGAACAGACACTTCTCAAAAGAAGACATACAGGTAGCCAACAAACATTAAAAAATGCTCATCATGACTAATCATCAGAGAAATGCAAATCAAAACCACAATAAATACCATCTCACACCAGTTGGAATGGCTATTATAAAAAGTAAAAAAATAATAGATGCTGACAAGGCTTCAGAGAAAAAGGAACACTTACACATTGCTGATAGGAATGTATTAATAAATTAGTTCAGCCGCCATGGGAAGCATTTTGGAGATTTCTCAAATAACTCAAAACAGAGCTACCATTCAA
The DNA here is from genome assembly GCF_000001405.40 of Homo sapiens. Taxonomy (NCBI): domain Eukaryota; kingdom Metazoa; phylum Chordata; class Mammalia; order Primates; family Hominidae; genus Homo; species Homo sapiens. The sequence goes on from NC_000012.12 coordinate 27,160,284, forward strand.
CCCAGAAATCCCATTGCTGAGTATATACCCAAAGGAAAAGAAATCGTTCTACCAAAAAGACACATGCACTTGTATGTCCATCACAGCACTATTCACAATAGCAAAGACATGAAATCAACCTAGGTGCCCATCCATGGTGGATTGGTTAAAGAAAATGTGGTACTTATACACCATAGAATACTATGCAGCCACAAAAAGAACAAAATCATGTCCTTTGTAGCAACAAGGATGCAGCTGGAGGCCATTATTCTAAGAGAATTAACACAGGAACAGAAAACCAAATACCACATGTTCTTACTTACAAGTGGGAGCTAAATATTGGGTACACATGGATACAAACATAAGAACAATAGACACTGGGAACTCCAAGAATGGGGAAGAAGGGAGAGGGGCAAGGACTGGAAAACTACCTATTGGGTACTATCCTCACTACCTGGGTGAAGGGGTCAGTTGTACCCCACACCTCAGCATCATGCAATATACCAGTGTAACAAGCCTGCACATGTACCCCATGAATCTAAAATCAAAGTTGAATTTTTTAAAAAGAAATAAAAATAGGTTGTGTTAAAGAAAAAAAAAAACTAGCAGCACAACACGTAAAGTTTAATTCTGACAAGTTAATGAGCCTAGTCACTGGTGAACCAAGAGAAAGTGAGGGATTCAACCCAGCAGTGGAACAGGGGTAGGACACAAACAGAATAAGTGACCCATATTAGCAAGGCATATTGCATTTTATCACATCACATCATATTTTAGATCTAGTTGCCTAACTCAGAGGCAACTATAGAAAAATTAAATTTGTTAAACTGAAAAGATTATTTTGCTAGATTCCATTGCCAGTTTTGTTTAGGGGAAGATGAAACCTACCTCAGATGTATTCCCTCGTTATCACTGAAGAGGACCATTCTGGAACCTCCCTATGCTGCTAACGGGGTCATGGTGTGGTTTGAGTCTCCAGTGCACATTGGAAGATGAGGAGGAGTCTGGGTGGGACCATGAGAGGGTTTTTCTACCACTTAGCAGACAATTTCTTCCAGTCCTAGTTGCTGTCCTCAGCAATCATTGAGTTCACTAAGCGTAATTTAAAGAGCCAGACTCATTCAGTAATCTAAAAGAAAGGAAGAGACAACAAGCATCAGCCGAAAGACTCTAAAGAAATCAGACTTAAGTTTGATCAATGTAACATTATGGGTGGTTTAGTTCCACTTCTGTGGGGCTGAAAGTTTGATTACATGGCAAACACGACAAAGAACAAGCTTGGAGAATCTGTGGAGTTGTTATTGCTTGGTTTTGTTATTTGAGGATTCTCTTTCTAAATGTAAGACAGTGAAGTGACATACTCTGAACACAGACCTAAATTTACCCTGTAAGTGGCCTCAAAACGAGAAAACTCAGTCTGAGAACTGGTGAACTGAAAACCAACATAGGAGAAGAAGGCGCTCAAGAACGCATCCAAGCAAATATTTTCAAAGACGTTTTTATTACTGTTACTTTTTCAAAAACAAAAACAAAAGGGAAGAGGATCCTTCTGTTTACTCAATCACTCAACAAAAATTTATCGTCAGCTAACTGCCCGGAACATCAGAGGTGAGTAAGACAGGTCCCTGCCCTTATGTCCTTTAGAGTCCCTGGGGAAGCAGACTCTGTCAGAGACCTGCCCTTCCTGTTGTGGCCATCTCTATCACACAGAGCTGGGTCCTGACTTCTGTTTGCCGTGTAGGTTTTCAGTAACTGACAGAATACAATAGCAGCTACCATTGATTGCTGCTTACTAAGTGCTTTACAAATGTGATGTCTCTTAAATCCTTAGAACAACTAGGCCTGAGGTAACCTATAGGGGCCTTGTGCAAACTATAAACAGAACTTCTGCAAGATAGATGCTGTCCAGTGATCTGAGCTCAGGTGGGATGCTAGTCCCTTCTCACCTCTTCCACTAGGTTCCCTTGTTCACAGGCTGTACAACTGTACTTGATATGCCCATCAAGAATCTAGTTAAGATATCATCAGTCTCATTTTACAAAGGAGGAAACTGAGGTCCAGAGAGGTTAAATAACTTTTCCAAAGTCATACTCTCTGGAAGTGACAGAGCCTTGACTCAAAGCTGCATTTGTTTGTTTCTGAAATGCTGTTGTCTTTCTCTTATTCCAATTTGGCTTCTTGTTGTTTTGCCAAGGCCTACCAAATCTCCCCTTGCTGAGGCAATAATAATAGAGTTCCCTAAGAGCCTATTATTTCTTATGCATGATTTCCATATGGTCTTAGAAGTCTTCTCCTTCTTTTCTCTCCTACTAACATTGTTTTTGTTTGTTTGTTTGTTTGTTTGTTTTTTGAGACAGGGTCTCACACTGTTGCCCAGGCTGGAGTGCAGTGGTGTGATCACCGCTCACTGCAGCCTTAACCTCCCTAGCTGAAGCAATCCTCTCACCTCAGCCTCCCAAGTAGCTGGGACTACAGGCATGCACCATCACACCTGGCTAATTAAAAATTTTTTTTTGTACAGACTAGGTCTCGCTATGTTGCCTAGGCTGGTCTCAAACTCCTGGGCTCAAGAGATCCTCCCAACTTCCCGGCCTCCCAAAGTGCTGGGATTACAGGAGTGAGCCACTACACCCAGCCAACATTGTTAATAATATCAAAATGCCTATTTTTTTTAAACCGATGGTGTGATTTAAATCCAGATCACTTAAACAATACTCAATAAAAATATTTGTAAGCCGTATATAAATCTGCAAGTAGAGGTAATACATGTAAGAATGTTAATACATAAATATATACAAAGGCAATTTAATATTTTTTCTAAAATGGCTTTTCCATTGAGAAGATTTGCCTCACTGCTGTCTTTGCCCACACTATGGTCTTTCAAGGTCACTTGTGAATGGGAGTGTTGTGGGCATCAGTCCATTATCAACACCTACCAACTTCACCAAGCTGACCTGTCTGTGAGTCAAGCTTGAGTTCCTCTCCTCTGTTCGCTAGTCATAGAAAAACCACCATGAAGTCATTGGTGAGAGCCAAGGAAGAGATGTCAGTCAGTGCCACAGCAGGGGGCTTAGGGAGCCTGGCCACCTTTCCTGCAGCTTATCTGTGCCTTGTGCACCTGCTCAAGCACATTCTCCAGTGTACTGCTTCCTCTTACATTAGATTCCGGCTGAGCCCACCTATCCTTGTAACTTGGGTCTTTGAGATCATCTGGCTCATGATGAGCTGTTCTGGCCATATGGCCACTTGGTGTCCCGTGGTGAAGTCCTCAGCCTATAGGGGCCCAGTAGCCTGCCAGGAGCTGCATTCCACCAGTGTGGAATGTTCCACAAGCAAAACCAAGGGAGCCTAACAAGTGGTGTGCTTCTTTCTTACAAGTAGGCAGTGAAAGATGCAGCAAACTACTTTTTACTTTGAAGGGGCCATCAGTACATGTCCTGTCCTAATCTGGCAGGCCTCTGGATCTTCATAGGGTTAATGTTGTGCCCTCTGGATTATACATATCTATGAAGGCATCTACAGTACATGCCACATCTTGCTCATTATCATGTATCCTCAAAATAGTAGACCAATGTAATTTTTGTGAAATGACCAGATAGTATAGATCCCTATGACAGAAAATAAGAGAAGAACTAATATAGTCCTGGGGCAATCCTGTGAATTTATACCATTGTCATTTCCTGCTAATGCAAACTGCATTGATCCTCTTTTTTGATTGGTATGAAAAGACTATTTCATCAGATCAATGATGGCATACTACATACTAGAGGCTGTATTAATCTTCTCTAGTAAAGATATCACACCCAGTGCAGTAGCTGCAATTGGGACTACTCCTTTGTTAAACTAAAAAAGTACACAGTCATTTACCATCTGGTTTTTATAGATGCGAGAATGGTAACTCAATGGGAACAACTACCCTTGCATCCTTTAAGTCTTTGAGGGTGGCTGTAATCTCTTCTATGTCCCTTGGAGATGTGATATGGTTTTTATTTACTATCTTGGCTGGATGGGGATTTGGCAGTTTCAGGGGCTTCCATTTGGCCTTTTCTGTTACAATTGCTCTTACTCATGGGACTTATAATATTCTAATTAACAAGAAAGTCACAGCTTGAAAAACTAGATATTTCCATCTCTAATGTTATACAACATTATATTATATAAGGTGCATGTATGCTCACCCTCTCACCTCCTCCTTTTCACTTCAGTTACATTTCAGCAGCTCACTCCAGCTGCTCTGTCAAGCTGTTGTTTTCTGCCCTGAGGCTTCTCTGATGTAGTCAGTGGGACACCTGCAGCAGCCTTCTTAGCCCTTCTGTCAAATGTGCAAATCTGGAAATAGGAGGAACTGAACACCTTTGACCAGTGGGGAGAGAAGCCGTGGATAAATCCTTCCATCTTATCTCCCTCAGGCAGACAATGATGAGGTTCATTCTACATGGCTCTTTGGAAGGATTTCTAGAAAGAACACCTCAGTTTCCCATGGTGGTGGTCAGCTTTATAACCCATCCTTGATTTGGCTTTCCTTCCAGCCCAGTGTCACTCTTCCACCTCCCCCCTCCTATTCCTTGAGATCACTTACCAAATAAAGCAGCTGTTGTGAGATCTAGTTTCAGGATCTACACTGTGAGCTTGGTGTGGCACTTTTATATATAGAATTTATACATGTTGTTGTACCAAATCAGAAAACACATGTAGGCACTTCAAAGAAAGAATCATGCAAGATCCTACTATCTAGACATAGCTTTCTAGACTATTGTTTATGCATCTATTTTTCGAAAAATGGGAAGTACAGTAAGTAAAGTATTTTTGCTTTAAGAAAAAGTATTTTTTGTATTGTAAACATTTTATGTATTGTAAACATTTTTCGTTCATGGTGAGAACATTAAAAATCCTCTTTTTTTTTTTACTGTTTTGAAATATATAATAAAGTATTACTAACTATGGTCACCAGGCTATGCAATAATGGATCACTAGAACTTATTACTCCTAACTGAAACTTTGTACCACTTGACCAATCCCTCCCCTTTCCCCACCACCTCCACCCCCACTGGCCTCTAGTGAGATCTCGGCTCACTGCAACCTCCGTCTCCTGGGTTCAAGCGATTCTTGTGCCTCAGCCTCCTGAGTACCTGGGATTACAGGCGTATGACACCACACCCAGCTAATTTTTGTATTTTTAGTAGAGACAGGGTTTCACCATGTTGGCGAGGCTGGCCTTGAACTCCCAGCCTCAAGTGATCCACCTGCCTCAGCCTCCCAAAGTGCTGGGATTACGGGCATGAGTCACCGCACCTGGCCTTACCCTCTACTTCTATGAGTTTGACTTTTTTTAGACTCCACAAATAGGTGAGATCATATGGTATTTGTCTTTCTGTGCCTGGCTTATTTCACTTAGCATAATGTCCTCTAGTTCATCCATGTTGTTACAAATGACAGAATTTCCTATTTTTTTTTTTTAGGATGAACAGTATTCTATTGTGTATATATACCACATTTTAAAACTCACTCATCTGTTGATGGATATGCTGGATGTTTCCATATTGTGGCTATTTTTTGTTTGTTTGGTTTTGGTTTTTATTATACATTAAGTTCTGGGATACATGTGCGGAACGTGTAGGTTCGTTACATAGGTATACATGTGCCGTGGTGGTTTGCTGCACCTATCAACCTGTCATCTACATTAGGTATTTCTCCTAATGCTACTCCTCCCCTAGTCCCCCACCCCCTGACAGGCCCCAGTGTGTGATGTTCCCTTCCCTGTGTCCATGTGTTCTTATTGTTCAATACCCACTTATGAGTGAGAACATGTGGTGTTTGGTTTTCTGTTCCTGTGTTAGTTTGCTGAGAATGATGGTTTCCAGCTTCATCCATGCCCCTGCAAAGGACATGAACTCATCCTTTTTTATGGCTGCATAGTATTCCATGGTGTATAAGTGCCATATTTTCTCTATCCAGTCTATCATTGATGGGCATTTGGGTTGCTTCCAAGTCTTTGCTATTGTGAATAGTGCTGCAATAAACATACGTGTGCATGTGTCTCTATAGTAGAATGATTTATAATCCTTTAGGTGTATACCCAGTAGTGAGATTGCTGGGTCAGATGGTATTCCTGATTCTAGATCCTTGAGGAATCACCACACTGTCTTCCACAATGGTTGAACTAATTTACAGTCCCACCAACAGTGTAAAAGTGTTGCTATTTCTTCACATCCTCTCCAGCATCTGTTGTTTCCTGACTTTTTAATGATTGCCATTCTAACTGGTGTAAGATGGTATCTCATTGTGGTTTTGATTTGCATTTCTCTAATGACGAGTGACGATGAGCTTTGTTTCATATGTTTCTTGGCCACATAAATGTCTTCTTTTGAGAAGTATCTGTTCATATCCTTCACCTACTTTTTGATGGAATTGTTTGTTTTTTTTCTTGTAAATTTGTTTAAGTTCTTTGTAGAGTCTGGATATTAGCCCTTTGTCAGATGGATAGATTGCAAAAATTTTCTTCCATTCTGTAGGTTGCCTGTAGACTGATGATAGTTTATTTTGCTGTGCAGAAGCTCTTTATTTTAATTAGATCCCATTTGACAATTTTGGCTTTTGTTGCCATTGCTTTTGGTGTTTTAGTCATAAAGTCTTTGCCCATGCCTATGTCCTGAATGGTATTGCCATTCAGGCATAAAACTTCTAGGGTTTTTATGGTTTTAGGTCTTATGTTTAATTCTTTAATCCATCTTGAATTAATTTTTGTATAAGGTGTAAAGAAGGGGTCCATTTTCAGTTTTCTGCATATGGCTAGCCAGTTTTCCCAACGCCATTTATTAAATAGGGAATCCTTTCCCCATTGCTTGTTTTTGTCAGGTTTGTCAAAGATCAGATTGTTGTAGATGTGCAGTGTTATTTCTGAGGGCTCTGTTCTGTTCCATTGGTCTATATATTTGTTTTGGTACGAGTACCATGCTGTTTTGGTTAATGTAACCTTGTAGTATAGTTTGAAGTCAGGTAGTGTGATGCCTCCAGCTTTGTTCTTTTTGCTTAGGATTGCCTTGGCTATACGGGCTCCTTTTTGGTTCCATACGAAATTTAAGATAGCTTTTTTTCTAATTCTGTGAAGAAAGTCAATGGTAGTTTGATGGGAATAGCACTGAATCTATAAATTACTTTGGGCAGTATGCCCATTTTCACAATATTGATTCTTCCTATCCATGAGCATGGAATGTTTTTCCATTTGTTTGTGTCCTCTCTTACTTCCTTGAGCAGCGGTTTGTAGTTCTCCTTGAAGAAGTCCTTCACAATCCTTGTAAGTTGTATTCCTAGGTATTTAATTCTCTTTGTAGCAATTGTAAATGGGAGTGTGCTCATGATTTGGCTGTCTGTCTGTTATTGGTGTATAGGAATGCTTGTGATTTTTGCACATTGATTTTGTATCCTGAGACTTTGCTGAAGTTCCTTATCAGTTTTAGGAGATTTTGGGCTGAGACGATGGGGTTTTCTAAATATGCAATCATGTCATCTGCAAACAGAGACAATTTGACTTCCTCTCTTCCTATTTGAATACCTTTATTTCTTTCTCTTGCCTGATTGCCCTGGCCAGAACTTCCAACACTGTGTTGAGTAGGAGTGGTGTGAGAGGGCATCCTTGTCTTGTGCCAGTGTTCAAAGGGAATGCTTCCAGCTTTTGCCCATTCAGTAAGATATTGGCTGTGGCTTTGTCCTAAATAGCTCTTATTATTTTGAGATATGTACCATCAATACCTACTTCGTTGAGAGTTTTTAGCATGAAGGGGTGTTGAATTTTATCGAAGGCCTTTTCTGCATCTGTTAAGATAATCGTGGTTTTTCTCATTGGTTCTGTTTATGTGATAGATTGCATTTATCAATATGCAAATGTTAAACTAGCCTTGCATCCCAGGGATGAAGGCAACTTGATCGTGGTGGATAAGCTTTTTGATGTGCTGCTGGATTTGGTTTGCCAGTATTTTATTGAGGGCTTTTGCATTGATGTTCATCAGGGATATTGGCCTGAAATTTTCTTTTTTTGTTGTGTCTCTGCCAGGTTTTGGAATCAGTATGATGCTGGCCTCATAAAATGAGTTAGGGAGGATTCCCTCTTTTTCTGTTGTTTGGAATAGTTTCAGAAGGAATGGTACCATCTCTTCTCTGTACCTCTGGTAGAATTCAGCTGTGAATCCGTGTGGTCCTGGGCTTTTTATGGTTGGTAGGCTATTAGTTACTGCCTAAATTTCAGAACTTGTTATTGGTCTATTCAGGGATTCAAATTCTTCCTGGTTTAGTCTTGGGAGGGTATATGTGTCCAGGAATTTATCCATTTCTTCTAGATTTTCTGGTTTATTTTCATAGAGGTGTTTATAGTATTCTCTGATGGTAGTTTGTATTTCTTTGGGATCATTGGTGATATACCCTTTATATTTTTTATTGTGTCTATTTGATTCTTCTCTCTTTTCTTCTTTATTAGTCTGGCTAGTAGTCTATTTTGTTAATCTTTTCAAAAAAGCAGCTCCTGGATTCATTGATTTTTTGGAGGGTTTTTCGTGTCTCTATCTCCTTCAGTTCTGCTCTGATCTTAGTTATTTCTTGTCTTCTGCTAGCTTTTGAATTTGTTTGCTCTTGCTTCTATAGTTCTTTTAATTGTGATGTTAGGGTGTTGATTTTAGATCTTTCCCACTTTCTCCTGTGGGCATTTAGTGCTATAAATTTCCTTCTAAATACTGCTGTAGCTGTGTCACAGAGATTCTGGTACATTGTATCCTTGTTCTCATTGGTTTCAAAGAACTTATTTATTTTTGTCTTAATTTTGTTATTTACCCAGTAGTCATTCAGGAACAGGTTGTTCATTTTCCATGTAATTTTGCAGTTTTGGGGGAATTTCTTAATCCTGAGTTCTAATTTGATTGCACTGTGGTCTGAGAGACTGTTATGATTTCCATTCTTTTGCATTTGCTGAGGAGTGTTTTACCTCCAATTATGTGGTCAATTTTAGAATAAGTGTGATGTGGTGCTAAGAAGAATGTATATTCTATTGATTTGGGTAGAGAGTTCTGTAGATGTCTATTAGGTCCGCCTTGGTCCAGAACTGAGTTCAAGTCATGGATATCCTTGTTAATTTTCTGTCTCATTGATCTGTCTAGTATTGACAGTGGGGTGTTAAAGTCTCCCACTATTATTGTGTGGGAGTCTAAGTCTCTTTGTAGGTCTCTAAGAACTTGCTTTATGAATCTGGGTGCTCCTTTATTGGGTGCATTTAGGACAATTAGCTCTTCTTATTGAGTTGATCCCTTTACCATTGTGTAATGACCTTCTTTGTCTCTTTTGATCTTTGTTGGTTTAAAGTCTGTTTTATCAGAGACTAGGATTGCAACCCCTGGTTGTTTTTTTGTTTGTTTGTTTGTTTTTGTTTTGGGTTTTTTTTTTTTTTTTTTTTTTTTTTTTTGCTTTCCATTTGCTTGGTAAATCCTCCTCCATCCCTTTATTTTGAGCTTATGTGTGTCTTTGCATGTGACATGAGTCTCCTGGATACCGCACACCAATAGGTCTTGACTCTTTATCCAATTTGCCAGTCTGCATTTTTTAATTGGGGCATTTAGCCAATTTACATTTAAGGTTAATATTGTTATGTGTGAATTTGATCCTGTCATTATGATGCTAACTGGTTATTTGCCTGTTAGTTGATGCAGTTTCTTCATAGTGTCAATGGTCTTACAATTTGGCATGTTTTTGCAGTGGCTGGTACTGGTTGTTCCTTTCCATGTTTAGTGCTTCCTTCAGGAGCTCTTGGAAGACAGGCCTGGTGATGACAAAATCTCTCAGCATTTGCTTGTCTGTAAAGGATTTTATTTCTCCTTTGCTTACGAAGCTTAGTTTGGCTGGATATAAAATTCTGGGTTGAAAATTATTTTCTTTAAAAATGTTGAATATTAGCTCCCACTCTCTTCTGGCTTGTAGGGTTTCTGCAGAGATATCTGCTATTAGTTTGATGGGCTTCTTTTTGTGGGTAACCCCACGTTTCTCTCTGGCTGCCCTTAACATTTTTTCCTTCATTTCAACCTTGGTGAATCTGATGATTATGTGTCTTGTGGTTGCTCTTCTCAAGGAGTATCTTTGTGATATTCTGTGTATTTCCTGAATATGAATGTTGGCCTGCCTTGCTAGGTTGGGGAAGTTCTCCTGGATAATATCCTGCAGAGTGTTTTCCAACTTGGTTCCATACTCCCCGTCACTTTCAGGTACACTAATCAGACATAGATTTGGTCTTTTCACATAGCCCCATATTTTTGAAGGCTTTGTTCATTCCTTTGGATTCTTTTTTCTCTAATCTTGTCTTCACACTTTATTTCATTAAGTTGATCTTCAATCTCTGATATCCTTTCTTCTGCTTGATTGATTCGGCTATTGATACTTGCGTGTGCTTCATAAAGTTCTCGTGCTGTGTTTTTCAGCTCCATCAGGTGATTTATGTTCTTCTCTAAACTGGTTATTCTAGTTAGCAATTCCTCTAACCTTTTTACAAGGTTCTTAACTTCCTTGCATTGGGTTAGAACATGCTCCATTAGCTTGGAGGAGTTTGTTATTACACACCTTCTGAAGCATACTTCTGTCAATTTGTCAAACTCATTCTCCATCCAGCTTTGTTCCCTTGCTGGCGAGGTGTTGTGATCCTTTGGAGGAGAAGAGACCTTGTGGCTTTTGGAATTTTCAGGATTTTTGTGCTGGTGTTTCCTCATCTTCATGGATTTATCTACCTTTGGTCTTTGATGTTGGTGATCTTTGGATGGGGTTTTTGTGTGGACATCTTTTTTGTTGATGTTGATGCTATCCCTTTCTGTTTTTTAATTTTCCTTCTAACAGTCAGGCTCCTCTGCTGCAAGTCTACTAGAGTTTGTTAGAGGTCCACTCCAGACCATGTTTGCCTGTGTATCACCAGCAGAGTCTGCAGAACAGCAAAGATTGCTGCTTGTTCCTTCCTCTGGAAGCTTTGTCCCAGAGGGGGACCTGCCAGATGCCAGCTAGAGCTCTCCTGTATAAGGTGTCTGTCGACCCCTGCTGGGAGATGTCTCCTAGTCAGGAGGCACAGGGTCAGGGACCCACCTGAGAAGGCAGTCTGTCCCTTAGCAGAGCTTGAGCGCTGTGCTGGGATATCCGCTGCTCTCTTCAGAGCCAGCAGGCAGGAATGTTTAAGTCTGCTGACGCTGTGGCCATAGTGGCCCCTTTCGCTAGGTGCTCTGTCCCAGGGAGATAGGTGTTTTATCTGTAAGCCCCTGACTGGGGCTGCTGCCTTTCTTTCAGAGATGCCCTCCCCAGAGAGGAGGAATCTAGAGAGGCAGTCTGGCTACAGTGGCTTTGCTGAGCTGTGGTATGCTACACCCAGTTCAAACTTCCCAGTGGCTTTATTTACACTGTGAGGGGAAAACTGCCTGCTCATGCCTCAGTAATGGTGGACGCCCCTCCACCCAGCAAGCTCAAGCATCCCAGGTTGACCTCAGACTGCTATGCTGGCAGCAAGAATTTCAAGCCAGTGTATCTTAGCTTGTTGGGCTCCGTGGGGATGCGATCCACTGAGCTAGACCACTTGGCCCCCTGGCTTCAGCCCCCTTTCCAGAGTAGTGAATGGTTCTATCTCGCTGGTGTTCCAGGCATCCCTGGGGTATGGAAAAAGAAATTCCTGCAGCTAGCTTGGTGTCTGCTCAAATAGTCACCCAGTTTTGTTCTTGAAATCCAGGGCCCTGGTGGTGTAGGCACCTGTGGGAATCTCCTCGTCTGCTGGTTGTGAAGACCGTGTGAAAAGCACAGTATCTGAGCCAGAATGCACCATTCCTCATGGCACAGTCCCTCATGGCTTCCCTTGGCTAGGGGAGGGAGTTCCTCGACCACTTATGCTTCGCAGGTGACGTGACGCCCCACCCTCCTTTGGCTCACCCTCCGTGGGCTGCACCCACTGTCTAACCAGTCCCAATGAAATGAGCCATGTACCTCAGTTGGAAATGCAGAAATCACCTGCCTTCTGCATTGATCTTGCTGGGAGCTGCAGACCAGAGCAGCTCCTATTTGGCCAACTTGCCAGCCACTTCTACTGTGGCTATTGTTAATAATGTTGCTGTGAACGTTGATTATGCAAATTATTTAATAGGTCACTCTTGTCATACCCAACTAAAACAGAGTCAAGGTACTCAGGGCTCATAACATTGCTCCAAGAATGTAATTCTCTGCAAACCTGGCTGCTGAAACTGCCTGCTGTAACCTGAAACCAGTTTTACCTAATGGCTACTCAACCTGCTGCAACTCTAAGATTAGTTTTACCCACCACCTTCACTCACCAGTCAGAGCTCCCCAGCTCCCCAGAACCTTCCTAGTGCCAGTGAACATTCTTTCAACACAATTAAGTAGGGGCTGGGTGTGGTGGTTCAGCCTGTAATCCCAGCACTTTGGGAGGTTAAGGCTGGTGGATCACTTGAGCTCAGGAATTGGAGACCAGCCTGGGCAACATGGCAAAACCCCATCTCTACAAAAAAGTATGAAAATTAGCCAGCTGTGGTGGCATGCACCTGTAATCCCAGCTACTTGGGAAGCTGTAGTGGGAAGATCACCTGAGCCTAGGGAGGTCAAGGCTGCACTGAGCCATGATGACACCACTGCACTCCAGCCTGGGTGACAGAGTCAGACCCTGTCTCAGAAAACAAACAAACAGAAAAACAATAAGTAACATTTCTTCTTTTATAAAACCTTCAACCTTCTTTTTGTTCTTCAGGCATACTCAAGGAGGACCACCCAGTCTATGTGTATGTCCTGAACTACAATTCTTGCTTCCCAAAGAAAATGTTTTGAATTAGCAATTTATCTCTAAATTTTATTTGATTTCGACACTTCGATGAACATGGAAGTGTGGACATCTTTTCCACATACTGATTTCAGTTCCTTTGAATACAGACCTAGAGGGGGGATTGCTGGATCACATGGTTTTCAGTTTTCAAGGAACCTCCATCTTGTTTTCCAGAATGGCTGTATTAATTTACAATCCCACCAACAGTGTACAAAGGTGCCCTTTTCTCCACATCTTTGCTGACACAATATCTTTTCATGTGCCTCCTTGTGATTTTTAAAAATGATTGTGCATGTATAGTATTCTATCACATAGTGCTACCACAATTGATTCAACCACTCTCTCACACTTAGACATTAAAGTTATTTCCCTCTTTTGTTATTCTAAAGCAATGCTATGATTAACACACATCTATTTAAGAAGTAGCAGTAGGCCGGGCGCAGTGGCTCACTCCTGTAATCCCAGCACTTTGGGAGGCCGAGGCTGGTGGATCACGAGGTCAGGAGTTCAAGACCAGCCTGGCCAAGATGGTTAAACCCCGTCTCTACTAAAAATACAAAAATTAGCTGGACGTGGTGGCAGGTGCCCGTAATCCCAGCTACTCGGAGGCTGAGACAGGAGAATTGCTTGAACCCAGGCGGCAGAGATTGCAGTGAGCCAAGATCGCGCCACTGCACTCCATCCTGGGCAACAAGGGCAAAACTCCATCTTAAAAAAAAAAAAAAAAAAAAAAAGAAGTAGCAGTAAATTATATCATAGTGGTTGAAAGCATGGGCTCTGGAGTCAAGCTGATAGATGAAAATTCCAAATACTCTACCTGATAGTTACAGAATTTTTATAAGTTTCTTAACATCTCTAAGCCTCAGTCTTATTGTATAAAAGTGTAATACAAATAGGTAATAATAATAGGTTATGTATCATAGGATTGCTATAAACATTCTAAGTTAATTTATACAAAGCACTTAGAATAGCACCTGGGTATAACAACCTTTCAATAAAATTTCATCATTATTGTTGTCTATTTCATTAGAATTAATTTTTAGGAGTAGAATTGCTTGGTCAAAGGGTGTGTTTTGTTTTTCTGTTTTGTTCTGTTTTGAGAAAGAGTCTTGCTCTGTTGCCCAGGCTGGAGTGCAGTGGTGGAATCTCGGCTCACTGCAACTTCCACCTCCCAGGTTCAAGCAATTCTCCTGCCTCAGCCTCCCAAGTAGCTAGAATTACAGGTGTGCACCACCATGCCCGACTAATTTTTGTATTTTTAGTAGAGATGTGGTTCCACCATGTTAGCCAGGCTGGTCTTGTGACCTTAGGTGATCTGCCTGCCTCGGCCTCCCAAAGTGTTGGGATTACAGGCATGAACCACCACACCTGGCCAAAGGTGTGTATTTTTGAAGCTCTGATATAAGTTGCTAAATTTAGGCTTGGTATTAATATTCATAAATTAATATTCATACCATCATTACAATCAATAATGTTTCTGTGGATGGAAATATGTGGATTGTTTTTCATACAAGAGGCTAAATAGAAATATTCTTAAAAACCTTGTATTTTGGATTTGGAAATAATGTCAGGAGTCACCTGTTCAATCCTGTATCAGTGAGGATAGGCTAGTGTATATGATAGTAACAAACAATCCCATAAGCTCAGTTATTTAAAGCAACAATGGTTATTTCTCACTTATGCTACATGTTCATTGTAGTGAAGTGGTTGTGGAAGGGTGGGTGTGTGCTCCTTATAAATCATAGACCCTGGTTAACAGGAACTCCATCTAGATAGATGCTTCCACACTTCCTGAGGCAGGAAAATGGGAAAATGGCAATAAATGCACTGGCTTTTAAGGCTTCTGCCTGAATGAGACCTATGTTAGTTAGTTCTGCTCATATTTCATTTGTCAAATAAGACATTGGCCAACAGCTAACTTCAACAGGGTTAGAGAACTATAATCCTACTCTGTGTTCAGGAGAGAAGAATCGGTGTATTTGTGAACAGCCTTAATGACTGCCACAAAATCACTTGGGTTTTGGTTTATTTTAATTTTTTAAATTTAAATGCTATTTATTTTTTGAAATAGGTAATATATTCACATGGTTCAAAATTGAAAAGTCACAAAATGTTATACAGTGAAAAGCCTATGTTTTTCTATCTTCTTCCTTCCCTGAAGCCAACCAGTGTTAATAATTTTCTTGTGTTTCTTCTAGAGATATTCTATACATATACCATATTGGCAAAAACACTCTGTGTGTGTGTGTGTGTGTGTGTGTGTGTGTGTGTGTGTGTGTGTGTGTGTATGTGCTGACTCTCCTCTGTTTGCCCTCAGATCCATTATCCACCCCTTATGGATCTGTTCTGTGCCCTAGGGAGTTGACATTTATAAATGCATCTCTCAAGTTCCCTTGCCCTCTCACTTATAGTTGAGTTTGGCCAATGGGAGACATCAATAGGAGATTGAAGAGCAGGAGAGGAGACTGTTTGGGCTACCCCTCCAACTCCCTCTGCTTTAGAGCTACAGTTGGGGCAGTGATTAAGTCTCTCTTTAAACACAGCTCTTGCTGGGTAGCCCTTCCTCTGGGTCTTCATCTCTCACAGATCTCTGATAACACTGTTCCTTTTCTTGCCCCATAAGCCATATGAATGTTAATGACTCCCTGCCATTGCTAGTTCATCCCTGGGGGAATCACCCTCTCTTTCTCTCTTATTAAAACAGCTTGATGGAGATATAATTCACATGTCATACAACTTACCCACTTAAAGTATACAATTTAATATCTGAATATCTTCTCATATATTCACAGACGTGTCAGCATCTCTTTGTATTTCCTTAAACTTGTTTACACCTTTGTAAATAGTCCCTTCATTGAATTTTCCTTCTGTTTCTTAAGGAAACAGAAAGCATACAGAATGCTTTCTGTTTTCTGCTGGGACCCTGTTCCAAGAGGGCAGCAACCATTCTGCGTTGTAGATACTAAATGAATATTTGTTTCTTGAATACATAAATGCATTGAATTTGTTAATTTGAATTTAAATTAATTATACACACAGTGGTATGCTGGCTCTGGCTCACACCAACTCAGGAGAGCCAATTGTTTAATTTATAGGAATTTTGTGAGTTGGTTATTAAACACAGCCATTGTTTAAAAATAACTTACTTTATTACTTTAATAAGTTAAATAAGTTATAAAAAGCTAATAACTACTAAAAATTAATCACTTCCAAATCATTTTACTACATTTCACTATTATCTGTGCTCTTGAGATTATTTGCATCTGCTGTATCCGTATGGTAGAAATACTATATAACGATGCACATAGAGATATGCGTGTCTCTTCCCAACTCTGTATTCCATGATGACATGTTGATATCTTGAAACTGGCTATTTTGGGAGTATTTTCACCACAGAATTCAGCAAATGATACAAATCAGGACTTAATTTTTTGTTTTGTTGATAATCTATTTTTTGTTTTGTTGATTATCTATTGATTTTTTGTTGATTATCTAGACTTAAGAAAATGATGATAAAAATGTTAATAATACAAATTAAACTTCAAAGTTTATCATTGTGAATAACTGAACAAAAAGTTGAGGAGTTATCCTTCCAGTATTTGAAATTAATATCTGATTCAGCAAAGAGATCATGCATGTCATTGATGTACCAGTGAAGCTCCAAAATATGTCTTTTTCATTTTCATCTTTTTTGTCTACCAGCATTTATGAATCTACACTTGTGGGGCTGGTTGTTGCATATTTACCAGCACAGTACTGTATATAAACAGCCACACACATCCACCCACACACACCCCCCCCACACAGAGTTTAGATGTCATTCTGTATTACCCATAGAGCTTTCTCAATCTTTTTTAGGTCTGCATTTAGGTACCTTATGAATGGATATTTAGACTGCAATCTTTTCCTGTTACAAAATAATGCTACAGTGAATCACTTATGAATCATCAGTATGATCATAAGTACATTTGTAATGTCAATAGCTATTGCTAAATTGCTGTCTATGAAAAATTTTACCAATTGATTGATACTCCTACAAGCAATATATGATATCTGTTTTCCCACACCCTCAGATGGATTATTGTTAATGTTAGTAACATTTATTCTTGGAGACACAATGTAGGAAGCCACCTTTCTCAGGAGCAGACTGATCATGCCACAATAATAATAACTGGCAGCTGTAAAGAAATATTTGCAAGTAGCCTATCTTGGAAATAGGCTCAGTACTGTTTTCAAGACTTCTGCTAAAAAGAGGATAGGTTAATAAGTCATTAATGTTTTGGCTCATTCTCTTCAAAAACAATATGGAGGAATTTTTCTGGTAGACACTGGAAAAAAGAGAAGGAGAAATGTCAGCTTACAAAAGAAATGTCTGTGTAAATACAATAATTACATGGCAGTGCTTGATAATTCTGTACTCAAGCCCCCTGGGCTCCATGTTATAGAGCTCCTCTGGGAAGGCAGAGGGAAGAACCAGAAAAAGGAGACTTATTTCTGCTAAGACGCAGCCAGACCCTCTGTGAAAGACCTACAGAACTTTGAGCACAGCTTCCACTTAACCACATGTAGCTATCAACCAAAGTTTGAGCAGAAAACTGTGCATTCATATAATTTGACTTGCTTTGCATTTCTCCCTTTCCCTTTTCTTTTTATATTTCAAAAAGAGATAAAAGTCTTCTGTAGATATAACTGACAAAGCATCAGTCCTTAAGGATTTAAGAATCTTAAGACTGGGCTGGAAAAAAATGCACAAGCAAAGAGTAAGACCTGCCTGGCCACATTTCCTTAGCCACATTGCTTATGGATTGTCAGACTTTGACTCATAGTTTACAGCTTAGTAGCTCTGTGACACTAGGGAGTTACTTGACCTTCAGTTGCCTCATCTATAAAATGGGGATAATAATAGTTCCAACCTCATGGGATTATTGTGGGGAAATGAGATAATCCATATAAGGTATTGAGCCAGTGCTTAACATATACATGCTATTGCTCAATGTATGCTATCAATTATTTTAATAGAAATATATATTATAAATTGTATGCAGGCTTATTAAGCAGTAGAGATTTCATCATTCACAACAGATTTTTTTTTCTGTTGCCTTTATGATCTCCTGAGTTTTAAAAAACGCACTAAATATTCCTATCTCAGACCCTGTCTCAGAAAACAAACAAACAGAAAAACCAATAAGTAACATTTCTTCTTTTATAAAACCTCCAACCTTCTTTTTGTTCATTGGTGAAGTAAAGATCATTAGTGAAGTAGATCTTGGCTAAATAGAGTGGCTGAAAGTAGAAAAACAGTGCACTTCACAACCACTAGAATAAGGCTTTTTTTCTGTCTGGCTTAGTTACATGATACAATTGAGTCTATCCAGGCTTAGTTTTAAGTAACCATTTATTTGGCTGAACAAAATTAGAGCTTGTGTGCATTTATTATAACATATATCCAGGCCCTATTTAATCTCCTAGGAGAAGAAATGTACTAAATGATATACTGATGTCGTGGAAGAGCTTATCCAACTTAATTAAGTAGACTCTTTATTCCCATATAGTAAGTTAGACATTCCGATTCTTTCCGATGATTCTGCACTAGAATTTAGCTGACCAGGGAGTTGGTTGTACATAGCATGGAACACCTTTCTTTTGCCCACAGTTTAATTATGTATGGAGAGTAGAAAAGAGCTTTGGTATGAAAGCCTAAATACAGTTAAGATACAATGAGCTGATGACAAAGATTCTCTCTCTCTTTCACTCTCCTTTTAAGTAGCAATGCAACTGCACCTGATTAGAAGACTGATCTTTGAAAAATAAGTTAAATTCAAATCAAGAAAAGTTTCTTGAGAACACAGTTATCTACAAGGTACTGTGATGAGTAGTATGAATAATAATAAGACAAAGACGTTAATGTCACTTCTCTCAAGAAATCACCATTTAAGGGAACAAACAAATAAGTCCAGACCAGATAGTAATAAAATGTGGGAAATGCTACACTAGTAAACAAACAAACAAAAAAATCATATAGGAACTGTGATGAAGGCACCAATTCCATCAGGGGAGCAGGGAGGAAGGTGCTAAGGGAAATTTTGCAGAAGTGACATTTGAATTGGATCTTGGAGGATTTCCAAGATTTTTGTGGAAAGCAGAAAGGAGAGAGATAAATAAACAGCATGAGCAGGAGCAGAGAACATCAGTGGTTAGGATGAAGCTCTAAAGATTTGCTAAGACCCAGTTATAAAGCATTTAACGGTCTTCTAAGATTGCCTGGGCTTTATTGTGAAAATAATGGAGAAAATTGAAGGTTCTTAGTTGGGGCAGGTTCAGGGACCTGAACAGGTTGAGTTTGGGGGAAGGTGCATAAGAGTGGGGACACAGGGCAATGTGCTGGCAGGGAGAGTGTGTGAACAAGGAAAAGGTCTTGAATTGTAACTCTGGAGAACATCTCGTGGCGGGTTGTGGAAGAGAAATTTATGAAGGAGGCTCCTAAGAACTGCCTTTTGAAAAAAGGAATCCTGAGACAAGCATAAGAAAGCAAAGAAAAAGAGTGATAAGGAAAAGGAATCGATCAGCAGTGTCAAACACCGTACACAGATCTAGAGGAAAACGAAAAAGAAAGCTATTTGGTTGAGCAACTAGACCATTTTTAGTGGCTCCTTTGAGACCACTTTCAATAGAATTAGTAAGGTAGAAACCAAATACCATGTCAGACAAGGAAAAATAATACTTGCAATGCACAGGAAATTTAAAGATAGGC
The DNA here is from genome assembly GCF_000001405.40 of Homo sapiens. Taxonomy (NCBI): domain Eukaryota; kingdom Metazoa; phylum Chordata; class Mammalia; order Primates; family Hominidae; genus Homo; species Homo sapiens. The sequence continues at coordinate 27,179,843 of NC_000012.12, forward strand.
AGGAGCTGATGTTGCATCTCTCAAGGAGGGTAGTATTTAAGAGCAACCAATGGAAATTATGAGAAATAGGAGCTAAAAAGGTCTAATCCCCAAAACCAGACAGACGAGAAACATTTGCAGAATGATGTCATCCTGCCTCCTTGGGTGATACCACTTTGTTCCTCAGATGTTTAACCCAGCCTGCATGAGTCAACATCTATATTTGGGCATAAGGAGAACTACCTTTTGTGCTATGTGCCAGTTCAGAAGTCTGTTTTTGCTAGTCTGGTTTAGCTCTGCCAAATTATTTTAGGCTTATGACTGCATCAACAGCCCATGGAAATTAATCTGTTTAATATCACATAGCTCTAATTCCAGCACACTTACTTCTATTCAATGTAATCTTAATTGGTTTTTTTCCCCTTTGCATTTGGAAGACACAAGGTTTATATTTACAAGTACATTCATAGCAGATTTTAAAAGGCAAAAGTGGAAATGTCAGAAAAACCATATATAGAATCCAAGAGCTTATATCAATTACTGAACATGACTAGAATAATAGTAATAACTTCTGTGAATTAAGTGCCTAGTGTTTGCCAGACAATTTTCATTGAGTATCTTTGATTCTATAACCCTAAAATGTAGCTACGATTTCCATCCAGAAAAGATTAAGTAACTTGATTACATTCACTCAGTCAGCAAATGGAAGAGTAGGGACTCAAAGCTAGACCTGACCCCAAAGCCCGTGGTCTTTCACCACTCTGTGCCCTCTTCAAAATATCATGGTGCCCATTAATGCAAAAGAAAAGTGAACTGGCTGGGTGCAGTGGCCCACACCCATAACCCAACATTTTGGGAGGCCGACGTGGGCAGAGCACTCGAGATCAGGAGTTCGAAACCAGCCTGGCCAATATGGTGAAACCCTGTCTCTACTAAAAATACAAAAAAAAAAAATTAGCCGGGCGTGGTGGCACATGCTTATAATCCCAGCTATTCGGGAGGCTGAGGCAGGAGAATCACTTGAACCTGGGAGGCAGAGGTTGCAGTGAGCTGAGATCTCACCACTGCATTCCAGCATGAGAGACAGAGCGAGACCCTGTCTCAAAAAAAAAAAAAAAGTGAACAAAGTCATATAAGTTATGTTTACAAGTGATGACCGAGATATTCAGTGGTAGAAGCTCTTTTTAGATGTAAATTACTCATCTAACTTTTATTGGGAAGTAAATATTTCAAAATGCATGTGGTTGACCAGACTTAATAGTAAATGACTCTATTTCTAATGGGATATCAGAGGAGAAGGCAAAAAAGGAAATAAGATAGAAGCATTACACAACAGAAACAATGTCTGAAGGAAAATTCAAAATTTAAGAAGAGCTGGAGATGGGTTCTTATAAGATCTCGTAAGATTATAATTTTTCTGGAATTTTGAACTATAGTGATTCATTCTAAGGAAAAGAAATCAGTTCACAGGAAAAGAATCTCCCTAAGATTATTTCCCATCCCCACAAGCATTGAAAAATGCTTTTTGCATATTACACAGAGAAGTTCTGCTTGTTTTTCTCAACCCCTCCTTGTCAGACCAGGATGGGATGGGGAAGGGTGGCTTACCTTTGTAGACCCCCTGCCAGAGAGCCTTCCCTTGGCATGGAATCTAAAGTAGTCTCCCAGACAATCTCTAGCACATCACTGAGTTATATTTTCTTCATAGCAGTACCTGAAATTATTTTGTTTACTCATTTTTTCACTGACTGGATTACCCCCACTAAATTTACGCTCCATGAGAACAGATTTTGTCTTTTTGATTCATGGCTAAACCTGAAGCACTCAGAACGGTACCTAAAACAATGCCTCAAAAAAAATTTACTGACTGTCTGAATGAATGAATGAGTTAATATTGCCAAGGGCACAGTAATGTGAATCTGCAGCTTAAAGTGGAGATCTTCACCCAAGAAATAAGTTTTGTATCTCTCCCTGAAGAAAGAAACAGTTATGAGGGTGGGGAGTTTATGTTCATGGGCTATTAAAGGAAAACTCAGAAAGATGGTGTGGTAAAAAGAAATATGTATTTGGTCTTTGTTCCAGTTCTTTTTGTTTGTTTGTTTGTTTGTTTATTTTTTGTTTGGAGACAGGTACCCTCCAGGCTGGAATGCAGTGGTGCCATTACAGCTCACTGCAGCTTAAACTTCCCCAGGCTCAGGTGATCCTCCCAACTCAGCCTCCTGAGTAGCAGGGACCACAGGCATGGACCACCATGTCTGGCTAATTTTTACAATTTTTTTATAGAGATGGGTTTTGCCATGTTGCCCAGGCCGGTCTTGAAATTCTGGTCCACCCACCTTGGCTTCCCAAAGTGCTAGGATTACAGGCATGAGCCACCATGCCCCGCCAGTTCCCAGTTATTGACATAGCTTCCAAAATTCCCGGAATTTCCTGAGCAATAGGGGTGATAAAAGCATCTTTTGTTACTCATTACAAGTTCCTTTCAATCATACCTAAATTTATGCTAATAAGGTGGTTCCTGGTGGACCCCTAGATAGCTTCAAGATAGGGGCTGGTTGCCAGGGGAGCCAATCATGTGATAAGAGGGCTGGAGTTTTCAGCCTTCCCACTCCCCTCAACCTCCAGTGAGGGGAAGGGGGCTGGAGTTTGAGTTCATTCACTAATCACCAATGATTTAATCAATGATGCCTGTGTAATGAAGTCTCCATTAAAAAACCTAAACAGGCTGGGCACGGTGGCTCACGCCTGTAATCCCAGCACTTTGAGAGGCCGAGGCAGGTGGATCACGAGATCAAGAGATCGAGACCATTCTGGCCAACCAACATGGTGAAATCCCGTCTCTACTAAAAATACAAAAATTAGCTGGGTGTAGTGGCGCACACCTGTACCCCCAGCTACTCGGAAGGTTGAGGCAAGAGAATCGCTTGAACCCAGGAGGCGGAGGTTGCAGTGAGCTGAGAGTGAGCCACTGCACTCCAGCCTGGGCAACAGAGCAAGACTCCATCTCAAAACAAAAACAAAACAAAAAGTCCCTAAACAATGGGGTTTGGAGAGCTTCTGGGTTGGTGAACACATCCAAGTGCTGGGAGGAGGGTGGGGACCCAAGGAGGGCTTAGAAACTCCTCCCCCATCCCCACCCACCCCACCATACATTGCCCTGTGCATCTCTTCCATTTGGCTATTCCTGAATTGTATCCTTTGTAAGAAACTGGGAATAGTAAGTAAAGCACTGTCTTGAGGTCTGTGAACCTGAGGAGAGGGTTGTAGGAATCCCCCTACTTTATAACCAGTTGCTCAGGAGTATGAATGGCCCAAACTGGCAATTGGTGTCTGAAGTGGGAACAGTCTTGTGGGACCAAGCCCTTAACCTGTGGGGTCTGCACTCACTCTGGGTAGATGGTGTCAGAATTGAATTGAATTGTAGAACACTTAGTTGGTGTTCGAAGAGTTAGAGAATGGATTGATGTGAGTGAAAACCCCATGTTTGGTGTCAGAAGTATTGTGAATAAAAACAATCAGAGATGGCTTACTACAAACACATGAATAGAGCTGATTCTGAAGAATCTCCTTCCTCCTAGGAGTGAGGAGTAGTCCTGCAGACGTATGTCCAAATTTGTCCTATCTTGGATTTAAGGCAAAAGCATTAAGGATTAAGTTCAAAGTCTTATTGTTCCTAAAATAGCAGGCATGTGAACATTGTGTAATGCTGTACTAAATATATGCAAGTAATTAAAATGAGTTATTCATATTCAGACCTAATGTGATGTTGAATGTATTATTGTCCAGTATTTTTTTGGCGGGGAGAGGTGTCAGAATTTTCAAAGCAATTCTGGACAGGGGAATGTTTTATGCTACTAAGGTCTTACAGCATGGAATATCCTCTCTCAGAGCTCTATATCTTGGAATGATTCCAAAAGACAGAAACAATATGGTTGGCACCCCTGGCTTTGGTATGGCTGAATACGTTAGGCAGATAACCTTTTTTTGTTTAAGAGTCAGGGTCTCGCTCTGTTGTATAGGGTAAAATGCAGTGGCTCAATCATAGCTCACTACAGCCTTGAACTCCTGGGCTCAAGCAATCTTCCTGTCTCAGCCTCCCAAGTAGCTGGGACTACAGGCACACACTCCCATGCCCAGCTAATTTTTAAAATTTTTTGTAGAGACGAGGTCTTGCTATGTAACCCAGGCTGGTCTCAAACTCCTGGCTTGGTCTTCCAAAGTTCTGGGATTACAGGTGTCAGCCACTGCACTTGGCTAAATTACCTTTTATTAAACAGTCCATTTATTGAGTTAGAAAACACAGCCAACCTTCACCTGACCTGAATCAGATAGTCAGAGGCACACGGCCTCTCACATGCCTTTATACTTCTCTCTAATAAATACCTGATTATTGCACCAAACAGCAACCTGGTATGTTTTTGGACAAGTCTTTGAAAAAAGTATGTCTTCCTAGTTAAAAATGATTATTGTACTGCTGAAAACTGGGAAACCACTTACATAAAATATGTGTATATATGTGTATTTTCCCACAGCATTTTCTAATGAGAAATCATCTTAACTAATCATCCAGGCATATTATCAAAAATTGAAGAAGGGAATATTGACATATGAAGAAGCTAAGTGGAAGAAAGCAATACAATGAACAAAGGAGGAAAAGTCACAAAGATCTCTGATTTTAGCCGACAGAAATACACCATTTGTGTATTCCTCGCTGGAGGAGGGAGGACCCACTTTCAAGATGGTTCATTCACATGCCTGGCAAGCTGGCAGGAATGCTGGCCAGTGCCGGCTACAGCTGTTGGCCAAAGGGGATGATCATCCTCAACATGGCTCCTCCATAGCTGCTTGGGTCTCTTCGTAGCTTGGCAGCTGAGTTCCAAGAGGGAAGAATTAGAAGTTTCCAGTCCTCTTAAAAAGCCGGGCCCAGAATTATCACAGAATCATTTATCCTGTATTCTATTGGTCAAATCAGTCTCAGGCCTAAACAGATTCAAGAAGGAAAAGAAATAGACCCCAACTCAGGGGTGGGCTGGGATGACTTAGAGAGTGACAAAGAATTTGCAGTTATTTTTCATTTATAATTCATTTGTTTATTAATCCTCAGCAGTTTTAAATGTATATATGCAGATGTGTATATGTTTTCTTTTTACAAAATTTAGATCATACTGAAAAAAGTACAACATGAATTTTTATTGTATCACAAACATTCTCTCAAGTCATTAAATATTCTTGAAAAATTGATTTTACTGGCTGTATCATATGGATTTGCCATAATTTATTAATGATTAAAAAATTGTCTGGAAATAAAATACCTTTTAAAATGCAGTAAATTGCTAATAGTTCTATATCCATGTGGTTCTATTATGCGTGATTTGGATTTTTTTATTGTACACTTTTCTGCATTCCTATGTTTTCTACAATGACATACACCGTAATTTTTTTTTATCCCTTCAGGTGCTACTGTCTTCCCGTCAGTCTGTGTTACCCCAGAACCATCTCTGTTCTAAGCCAAGGTGTGGAAGAAGCCCTTCCCATAATTCTGCTAAGCTTTGTCATGCAATCTCATGGTATCTTCATCAGACATCTGAATTGAGCCTTGAAGTGTGAGTAGGAGTTCATCAGGTGAGGGGTAAATGTAACACTTACATTTTGCCAGAGTCTACCTCTCTCCCAGATTGACTTCCTTTTCATAGCTTTATGAAATCAGTTATACCATTTGATGCTGGGGTTGCCTGCCTGCACCTCTAATCTTGGTTGGGGCCGGAAACTCCCTGCTATTGTAGCAGCAACCTCACATCACTGCCTCTGTCACCACCAACCACAGCTGGAGCAGGAGTATGAACTGGATACTGTAAAGGAAATGCCTGTGTGACCACCACTGTGAGAACCTTAGCATTTGAGATGGACCTTGTGGCACTGCAGGCCACGGGCTCTTGCACAGTATTTATAATCAGTAAAAAGAAGTTAATAATAGAAATGGCATTGTATCTGGAGTCTGATTCATAAATCTTGCTGACTATAGGCCAAAAACCATTAAGTTCTGACTCAGTGTCACTCAAACCAAGAGTGTTTGAAACTAAGGGCTCCAGAGCTCTGAAATGCTAAAATGTCTTTCTGTGAATAATGCTTTCCTTGGGAGCAAATCAAGAAATACTCCCAGTGTGTTGGCAAGTAGTCTTTCCAGAGGCCAACATTAGGAAATTCAGACTGCCCTGTTTAAAAATGATAGAGTATTGGTATTTCAATTCCTTACACAATGGTTGATTAAAGCTAATTAATATAGCATATGTTTGCAGTTTTACCCCAGAGGCCATGATAAATCAGGTACAGTGGTAACTTCTCCTTGCTAACGTTGACATTTCCCACTGCTGTGGGTGGAGTGCTCATGGACCTGAGTATCTGTGATAAATGGCACGAATTTCCTTAGAGAAAAGCCACGCCCTACATCAGATTATTATTCTTTAATCCTGTACATTTGGGTAGAATTTTTTTCAGGGCTTTTATTTTTAGGGCTTATTTAGAAATCTAGAATGAGAAAATGTTTGTCTCAACTCTGAGATGTGTATGTATGCGGGTGGATATGTGTATGTGTTTCCTACTTCTGAGTCACGCTGTCCACAAGGGACAAACCTTAAGGGGGCCCCATTATGTATAAAACACTGTGCTGTGTGCTGAGCCAAGGTGCCACTGCTTGACCAGCAAAGCACCTGGGTCCCCATCTCACCAAGTGGATGCATGGTCTCCTCAGTCCTGCACCATGAAGAAAGCCTGGTCAGACCAGCAGAGGTTCCTTTGACTCAACAATCCTTTAAATAGTTATCCTGACCTTTCCAGAAGCCCAGCCTTCTGTGGGATGTGTTAGAAATTGCAGCTATCCTCAGCTGAACAGCTTGTGGCTACTTCTTAGCCTTTTCTCAGACCATTCTATCCTTGAATATGTCCAGGGGCTTTCACCACCGCACTAGTTCTAGCTCTCCCTGACATCCTCATCCAGTAGCTGCCATGCCTGCCACCCCACTCCATTCATATTATTAATAGTTTCTTATCGCAGCTATAATAAATTGTCACAAACTTGGCAACTTAAAGACACAAAAATTTATTCTTTTGTAATTCCAAAAGCCAGAAGTCTAAAATTGGTTTCACTGGGTGAAGTCAAGGTGTTGGCAGGGTGCTTCCTTATGGAGACTCTAGGGGAATATGTTTCCTTGCCTTTTCCAGCTTCTAGAGCTGTTTTCCTTGCACTTTTTGGCTCATGATCCTTTCTTCTGTCTTCAAAAGTGGCAATGTAGCATCACCTTCAAATCTCTATCTCTCTCTACCTCCACCTTCACATTACCTTCCCTCTTAGAAGAACCCTTGTGATTACATCAGGCCCACTTGGCTAATCCAGGACAATCTCCCCATTTCAAGATCGCCAACTTAACCACATTTGCAAAATCCCTTTTGCCATAAATGTAACAGCGACAGGTTACAGAGTTTAGGACATGGACATCTGAATGTCCATGGTGAGGCTGGGAGCCACTATTTAGTTTAACAAGTCATTTGGTGCTGGCCAGCTGCTGTTGCCTTAAGGCACCTAAATTAATCATGCCAGTGTTCCTGCGGAGGGCTCTGAAGTATGTTAACACATATGTGAGGTGTGACTTTTATCCTAGAGAAATAGTACATGACAGCTGGAAGCAGAACATTGTAGCAGTCTCTAGAGTCAGACTATCTGGATTTCAATTCTAGTCCCTGTCTCTTAACCACTTAAAAGCTATGTGGCTGGACATGGTGGCTCAAGCCTATAATCCCAGCACTTTGGGAGGCTGAGGTGGTGGATCACCTGAGATCAGGAGTTTGAGACCAGCCTGACAAAATAGCAAAACCCTGTCTCTACTAAAAATACAAAAATGAGCCGGGAGTTGTGGCATGCCTGTAGTCCCCGCTACTCGGGAGGCTGAGTCAGGAGAATCGCTTGCACCTGGGAGGCAGAGGTTGCAGTGAGCTGAGTTCGTGCCACTATACTCCAGCCTGGGTGATAGAGCAAGACTCCATCTCAAAAATAAAAATAAAAATAAATAAATAAATAAACAAATAAATAAATAAATGCAAGCTCTGTGACCCAGGGAAAGTTACTTGTTCTCGCTAAATCTGTTCCTCATCTATAAGCTGACATCTGCCTCCCAGCATATTGTTAAGATAAAATGAGGCAGTGCTTATAAAGCGATTAGTACAGTATGCAATATATAGAAAAATATTCAATGATTAGCTCTTATTACTATGAATAGTCTGTTTTCCTTAAAAGATAAAAGCAGGAGGTTCAGAAATATTAAGTGATTGATCTTTGCCTCATCCCCCCACCCTCAGCCTCAGAAGCTATAAATAGAGCAAAATCCCAAGTGAGACACTGGAGCTATTTGGACCCAGCTGAGAAACCCCTTTCCCCCACCTCCCCAAATGCAGCTGATGTCACCTCACCCTACTGCAGTTCACACCACTCCAGAAGGGCCTCTGAGCCATGCTCCTTCCTTTCTCCTTCAGTCTTCCTGAAGGGAGCCAATGCCTTGACATCCATAGTAGTTGCCATTGACCCATAGGTCCTTGCCAATGTCCTGCAGTGCTCCCCACACAGGCCCTCAAACCCATCTTGGCGAATGCTTGCTGCAGCATTATTTTGATGAATGGTCAACTGCTGTAAATCTCATTGCTGCTGCCTACTGGGTTTGGATGTCTAATTTATGTTTCAGAATTAACATGTCCAAGACCAAACTTTTGAATACCTCCAACCCAACGGCTCCTTCCTGGATGATTCTCATCTGAAAGAATGGCGTCACCATACTTGCCAGCTGTCACTCAGGACAAATAGTGGCACCACCCAGCCTAAGGCACCATCATCTCACATCTGGAGTATTGCTACCTAACAACTCTTTCTACTTTCTTTCTCTTACAATCCCTCCACAACATGAATTAGATAATGTCACTTCACCATTTAATCCTCTCCCATGGCTTACCATTATTCTTAATCAAAATCCAAAGTCCTTATCATAGCCTACAAGTCCCTGCAAGATGTGGCCCCTGCCTACTTCTCTGATCTCATTTCCCAATATTTTTTGCTCACAGCTCTTTTTTTTTTTTTTTTGAGACAGAGTCTGGCTCTGTCACCCAGGCTGGAGTGCAGTGGCATGATCTCAGCTGACTGCAACATCCACCTCCAGGGTTCAAGCAGTCTCCTGCCTCAGCCTACCAAGTAGTTGGGACTACAGGCATGCATCACCAGGCCCAGCTAATTTTTGCATTTTTTCTTGTAGAGACGGGGTTTCGCCATGTTGGCCAGGCTGGTCTTGAACTCCTGACCTCAAGCAGTCCACCCGTTTCAGCCTCCTGAAGTGCTGGGATTATACGCGTGAGCCACCGTGCCCAACCCGGCCTTCTTATCCCAGGAATACCCTGAGCATGCTCCTGCTTCAGGACCTTGGCCCATGCTGTTTCCTTTGCCTAGAATACTCTTCCCCCTAGATAGCCACATGTTTTGTGTCCTTACTCCATTCAGGTCTTCTTCAAGTGTCATCTCCTCATAGAGGCGTTTCCTTACCAACCTATGTACAAAAAGCATTCCCATCACTTTATTTTCTTTAGAGTGCTTATTATTACATGACATTGTATTATACGCTGTGCTGTTTATTATCTTCACTCCCACTAGATGGAAGCTCCATTTTCACCATTGCATTTTCAGCCCTTAAAATGGCACTTGATTCATAGTTGGTATTTGATACATATTTTTTAATTGAAAAATTGCTTTCTATGTGTAGGCAGTGTTCTACATCTTTTATAAGTATTAATTATCTTAATCTCTCTAATAGCTTTATGAGATAAATACAATTATTATTATTATTTTGAGACAGAGGCTCACTCTGTCACCCAGGCTTGAGTGCAGTGGCACGATCTTGGCTCACTGCAACCTCCGCCTCCTGGATTCAAGGCATTCTCCTGCCTCAGCCTCCTGAGTAGCTGGAACTACAGGCGCCCACCACCATGCCTGGCTAATTTTTGTATTTTTAGTAGAGATGGGGTTTCATCATGTTGGCCAGGCTGGTCTCAAACTCCTAACCTCATATGATCCACCCACCTCAGCCTCCCAAGGTGCTGGGATTACAGGCGTGAGCCACCGCACCCAGCTAGTAAGTACAATTATTATCTTTCTTTTAGAGATGAGGAATAGCTTCCCTTCTGAACAGGTTGATCTGCAAGCTCCCATTGGTACATGATCACCTTTCTCTATATGTATGTAGAGCATTGTGGAATAGGTCCTTTTGTGACTATATCTCTCTAGTCCCAGTCTAAGCATGCTTTTCCTGGGAAAGATAACTTGCGGGATTGCATGAGCTCTGCTACTTCTGTGTTTGTAAGGTTCCCTCTGGTAAACTGTATTTTGCATTTGTATCATGTGTCATGAATGGAGTATATGTTCATATCTCCTTTGCACAGTGGTTAGATATTTCTGTGTTGGATTACTTTTGTCATTCAAAAAGAAAGCATGACCCTAAACCAATAAAGCATGCCTTGAGGGTAAATATTGTATTTATAGAAATTCTTAAAATGGATTACAATCCAAGGATACCCTGTCTCTCCTGCTCTGTGCCTAGCCTGTAACTGGCATTCTACTACCTAGAAGAGTAAGCTGGTTAACACATCCCTTGGCTTGACTCAAAAACCACCTGTGTCTGTGAGTGGACTTTCTGGAAGCTCTAACTTCTTGCTTCCCATGTGGGCTCCAGTGAGCACTAACTTCACTGGAAGAAGGTGTTTGGAGGAAAAGTCCAAATCCCTTCCTAAGAGATCAATACATCTGAATGAGATACTGATATTTTTCCCCTTACCATATATGCCCAGAGCCTCTTTTTTCCGGAAATTATTTCTGCTAGTTCTAAGTCATTTGGTTTCTTTGATTTCTTTCCCCCTACCCTCCTAGGATTACATTTGAAATCCTTTATTTTTATTTGCTGTAAAAATGTGGGTCAAAGAATTCCACATTCCAGTTTGTTCCCATCATCCCTTACAGCTATTTGCTTTGTGGGTGTAGGCCAGTTTTTGCTATTTTTTTTTATCTCAAACAGCAAGTCCTTTTAGAGGCAATGTTGTCATCCATTGGTTTTTCTGCAAACAGTCTGCGTTCTTTGGTATTTCTTAGAATCATTTAAAATTTCCTGTTGGATAAGATTTTGTTCTACTGAAATTCCATTTGCAATGTTTTTCCTGTTAGTTTAAAAATACACATATACACACAGAGAATCTTTCTTTTCCACCATCCACCCTTCTTTCCATTGTTTATTAGCTTTGGCTACAGAGGCGTTCTAGAGTTTAATACCATCCAGCTCTGTCTCACTGACAGGGATGCTCATGCTACAAGGAGAAAAGTCCTAGGAGAGGAGCAAGTGCAGTGGAGCTGAACTTTAACATGTGAGGTGTGGAAGTCAGGAGGTCAGAACAAAACTGGCTGCTGCTCTGCTGTGTGGTGGGCAGGGCTGTTTGTCTCTGGGAGGTTCTCCTGAGGTGATTGTTGCCACTGCAGCATCGTAGGAGAGTAGAAGTCAGCAATGGGCAGGTTGGGGCAGTAACTGAGAAGCAGAGCCATTAACAGCCCAAATCCAGTCCTGGTGCAAATGATAATGAGATCTTTACTTTTCTTCCTTTTCTTTCTCTCATTCCTCTCTCTACTCCTCACCTTTCCTCTCCTTGGACCCTCATACTGTCTTATTAGCTCTCTTCTTTAATGTAGAAGAAAATGCTGGCATGAAAATGCACTATTCAAAGACTAAACTGTGTAATTGCAACAGAAAATCTGGTGCTATTCAGGACAACAGGGGCAGCATAGCAGAGCTGTCCTGTTAAGCTTTGCTCTACAGGGCAGGTCATGACTGTGGTGTACTTTCCTTCTCCTTAATTCCAGTCCTGACCCTTGCAAAGAAGTAAGAGGTAGATGAGTTGAGAAATATTGCTGGGATGTAAGTCTGCTGAGTCTCAGAGTCCATCTCTGCTTTTGCAAGCCTCTTCCATAGACAGGCCCCAGTTCTTTCCTTTAGTCACACTGCGTGCGCATCATGTGCCAAGTATTGTGCTGGGGATATAGTGGTAGTCAATATAAAAACAATGCCCGCCCTCATATACCAGCAAGGTACAAAAGCTGTTGAGGTAATTGCAAGTGTAAGTAGTGTTGCCCAAAAGCATATTAAGGATACAATGGAAGCGTGCAGTGAGAGAGCTGATCTGGTCTCCTTTATGTGTAGGCTTGGCCCTGCCTACACTATCATCAGCCCTTGTCCAGCTGCTGACCCTTAGAATCTGACTTGCCAGCAAAGACCTAGGAAGCCCTGGGCATCCATGTCGACTGGACAGATAACAGCCTTCCCCAGGCACCTACCATGTTAACGCACTATGTTTGCACTTTGATCATTTCCATAGCCCTGCACTCTAGTTCTTTTGCCCTTTCAAATGTTCTTAGTTCTTGCCAGGTCCCTCCCCTATAAAACCAAGTCCTTTCTCTGATACCTTCAGCCACTGGCTGGGCTCTGCTGGGATTGACCCACTCTCCATCCACCTGACTTTGATTCTAGCCTGTCACTGGAACTCCCACTGACGTGTCCCACACTTTAGATTGAACCAACCTGTCATCTAAACCAAACCACGCTGGGCCTGGACCACAGAGTTTCCAGAGCTCCTTCGGTTCACCCTCAGTCCTTACTCTTCTGGTTCCTGGTTTTTCCCTCTCCTCTTTCATTTTGCTGTGACCCAACAGCAAAGTTTGTGGCTAAGTCTGAGAGTGACACTCTGGGCTTGTTGGCAACTGAATAGCTATTGATTTGTTCTTTCTCCTTTGCACACATTGTTAAGTATTGAATAATTAGTCAACAAAAATATCCTGAGAGCCCACCATGCACTATTCTGAGCACTGAGGAAATGCCAGTGAACAAAACAAAGATCCCTGAACTTCCACACATGCCCATCCATTCTGTGTGTGCTCTCTGTGAATGTAGAGCTTGAAAATCAGAGGGACTCTGACATGAGATCAGTCAGGCCCTCTACTCAATGTACAAGACACACTGTGCTTCCAAATCTCCAAGTTTCTCAAGACCAAGGGACCCAGGTGTTGCCTTATTTCCATGCCTCTCACTTCCACTACTGAAAATAAATCCAGCCAGGCACAGTGGCTCACATCTGTAATCCTAGCACTTTGGGAGGTTGAGGTGGGAGGACTGTTTGAGACCAGCCTGTCTCTACAAACATAAAAAAAAATAATAAAAAATTAGCTAGGTGTGGTGGGTGCGTGCCTATGGTCCTAGTTACCCAAGAGGCTGAGGCTGGAGGATCACTTCAGCCTGGGAGGTCCAGGCTGCAGTGAGTTGTCATTGCACCACTGCACTTTAGCCTGGGTGACAGAGTGAGACCCTGTCTAAAAAAAGGAAAAAAAAGAAAAGGAAATGAAATGAATCCCCATGTGGACTGTTTCCAAACCACCCTGCTATAAGCATGACGTCAACTCACAAATTGCTGCACCAAGTTTATAAACTACAACTGATAAATGAGTTTCTGGCTTGTAAATCAAATAATTGCCCTTTGAGACTTGCAGAATGGACAACACAGATTGCTCATTGCTGACACAAAGATTCTAAGCTAAGTTTTCTAATTTCAGAGACTTTAACCAGGCTATTAAGGGAACACAAACTTGACTTTCTCTCTAATTAAAGCCTATTATAATATAATAACATAGCTCACTGCTGGATAAATACTCCTTTATTTTTCACTCCAACAGTACCTAATTTGGTGGCACGGACACACACACGTTCTATATAGGGCTTATAACCTGAACATATGTGTAGCTGTCTTTGCATTTTTTAGCTGTTTTGTTCTATGTTTTGCCTCTCTTCTTAGTTTCAGAGTTCACTTATTGACTATGATAATTACTGAGCAAACAAATATGACCTATTAAGGGCAATTACTGTTAAGCATAATTTTTAAATCATGCCCTAGGACCAAACACTTTTCTTGAGCCTTGAGACAAATGTCCCACATGCTGGCTGAGTAGCAAAAAAGCAGAGGTTGGGATGATCTCCTGGGTGCTGCCAGCAAGCACAGGAATGTGCCAGTGATGTCAGGCAGAGCAGGGCAGGCATCAGATAGCTGGAGTGGGGAACTGGCCATGTGGTGTGATGTGAGAGATTTCCAAAAAAGGTCCTGGACTGAAAAAGTCCTTCCTCTCTGCTACAGACAGGGGCTGTGATTGTTGGAATGAGTGTGAGGTAAGCCTCACCACTCCGACTTCTAGCCTGTGTCTGCCAACATCTCATTCAACAGGATGTAAATCTGGGGAGGAAGCCTCTGTCCTCAGGCTCCTGGCTCCTGGCTCCTGGTATGGAGCTAAGAGGTTTCATGGTCTGTCCTGGCTCCCAGGCTGATGTCTGTGACCTCCACAGATGGAATCTGCCTTCTTTTATTCCATTCTTGTTTTCCCAAACATTTAGCAATGCCTTTTAAGAGCACATGTTGGACACTGAGAACACATGGCAAAATTATATGTATGTCCCTTCTCTCAAGGATCTGATGAGGATTTAAAAAAAATAAACATTTTTAAAAAGAAGCAAATGAGGAGGATCTTTGTGGTGACCGAATACTTCTGTGTCCTGATTACAGTAGTGGTTTCATGAATCTACACTTGATAACATATCAGAGAACTATATACATTGTTTTAATGTCAGTTTCCTGGTTTTGATATTGTACTATAGTTATATAAAATATAACCATTGGGGGAAACTGCGTGAGGGTACAGGGGACCTCTCTGTACTATCTCTGTAACTCTCTGTGACTCTAGAATTATTTCAAAATAAAGAAGTAGTTGCTCTCATTTCCATGTTTTGCCCAAGAACGTAGGTTAAGGGAAATTTAATGACTTGGTTAAAATGACAGAACAGAGTGTGAGCGTTAAGCAAGTGCATATTTAGGTCAAGTCAGGGGGGAAACCTGGACTGTTTCTGTAGATCTGGGAATCATCAGCCTTGACATGATAATTAATGGTGTAGAAGTGGGTAAGGCCACTGGTGAAGAAGGTTGGAGAGCTGAAAACAGCATCATCAAAGAGGTGAATAAAGAGACTGAGATGGGAGGAGCCAGAGAGAAAGGAGAAAAATCAAAAGAATCACTCCAATGGGAGTCCAGGGGAGAAATGAATGTCCAGAGTCAAATGCTGCTGAAAGGGCAAGAGGGATAAGGACTGGTGTCCTCTGACTTCTGCCACAGGGAGATCACCTGTGACTGATTGGAAATGAATGAGAGGAGACTGGAGGCCACATGTCTAAGATACTATTTCAATAAACTCTGGTGTAAAGAGCAGGAGAGAGACAGCACAATAGATGGAATGGGATGTGGATTTGACCGAGAGTTGTTTGTTTTAAGATGGGAGAGAGGAGGAGAGGGACAGCACAATAGATGGAATGGGATGTGGATTTGACCGAGAGTTGTTTGTTTTAAGATGGGAGAGAGGAGGTGAGAGAGACAGTCGTTGAAGACTCACGAGGGAGACGAGGCAATCAACTGAGGAGAGTGGCCAAGCAGCTGGAAGGGACAGGACCAAGAATAGGCAGAGAAGTTTGGCCTTAGATAAGAGAGAAATGCATCCTCTAATGAAGAGGTGAGGAGGGAGAAGTGATGGGTATGGATGTGGGCGGCATGTTAGAATTGTTGGCAGGAACTTGGCAAGTTCCATTCTGAGATCTTCAATATTCCTTTGTGAACTAGGAGACAAGGTCATCTGCTGAGAGTGAGGAGACAAGAGCATCAGAGATTTGCAATGATGAGAGGAATTTTGAGCTGGTTGTAGGGAGGGGGGATGAGGGTAACTAGGGTAACACGTCAAGGAGACTGGAACAGGATGGCTGCAACATGTGCTGTTGGTGCCCCGTTGAATCCCCTTGGCACTCATGGTTCAGGTACAAACATGCTGACAGCTTTTTATTGCAGGCACCTACAGCTTTGCCTGGGGGGTGTTCTCTAGCTGGGAGCTTGTGTGACTTGTGCATAAGGCAGCCTGGAATAAAAGGGAGTTAATGCCACCGAGAGCCATTCTCAACCAATGACAGAGAGAAATATGGGGGCCAACTCACAGGTGGGCTCTTGGAGGTCTCCAGTGGAACTGAGCCCACTGTAGTAATCTGCTCATCAACACACCCTGTGTTGGTTTCCTCCACTCTGTCCCGTTTCCCTCTCCGTCTCTGTCTCTCTTCTCTCTCTCCTGTTCATTCTTTTACTTGGGTTTATCTCCAAATAAACCACTTACATTCAGATCCTTGTCTCAGGCTCTGCCTTTGAGGGAACTGCACCCAAGAAAAGGGCCTAGTCGGAAAGGGCCCGGATAAGTATCATTATACTTGTCTACCAAGATGTGATCATCTAGCAGTGCTTGGCAGCCTAGGTATGAAAAACAAAAACAAAGGATAGGAGCTTTTGTTGCAGATGCAGTGAGAATAATGAGGCGAAGGTACTTAAAATATTGGCAGGAGAAAGTGTGAAATGATGGATCATTAAGTCTAAGATGAATGGGGGCGTGGATTAGAGGACCTGAAGTAAAAAGGGAACAAATGTATTATGACAGTTAGGCATGCCAGTTGAGAGGATAAGAGACTGTGATTAGAGAGAGGGATACCTGATTTAGTAATGTTAGAGATGAGGCAGTTTGTGTGTACTGTGGCCTTGAGAGCATGTGACTGTAGAGTATCAATCTACTGCATTTTATTGAAAATGAGGCATTCAAAATTTCCTGAGACTAGAAATGGGATGATATGTCCACACAGATATTTAAGTAACCTTGGATGATAGTGGTTTGAAAGACTATATGTCAGTTGCCAGAGTCTTTAATTAAGGGTAGAGGCCAGGCTCAGCAGCTCATGCCTGTAATCCCAGCACTTTGGATTCAAGGCAGGAGGACCGCTTGAGGCCAAGAGTTTGAGACCAGCCTGGACAGCATACTGAGACCTTGTCTCTACAAAAAAATAAACAAATAAAATTAAGCTAGGTGTGACAGCGTGTGCCTGTGGTCCTAGCTACTTAGGGGGCTGAGCTGGGGGGATCACTTGAGCCCAGGAGGTCGAGGCTGCAGGGAGCTGAGATCACACCAGTCGGTGACAGAGTGAGACCCTGTCTCAAATAACAATAACAATAATAATAATAGTAGAATGATCAGAAACTCTGCTGATGAGGAAGGATAACAATTGACATCATTGAATAAATGGGCCTCAAGGTATCAATAATTGAAGCCATCTCTCTGTGTTTATATATTCAGCTTTTGAAACCCGCAATTACTTTTGCACCAACCTAATAGATTTGCGTCACTCTTTTTAAGGGCTGCATAGTGTTCCATGGATGCTTAGACCACAATTTACTTAGCCAACCCCTACTGAGGAACACTGAAGTTGTTTCCTGTTTTTCAAAAGTATAAATAAAGTGTGAGTACCTGTTTTCAAATTTGTATTATCTCTTTGGAGTAAAGTCTGACAAGTAGAATTGTTGCAGTGAAGAGTCTGCACATCTTATGTTTGATACTTCTTGTCAGATAGCCCTTTCGAGAAGTTGTGCTATTTTATATACCCGCGGAAAAAACACAAAGTGTGTGTTTCTCCTAACCATGTCAATGCATGTGTTTGATCAATTTTTAGAGATCTTTGCCAGTCTGATAGATGAAAATCATTTCATTATTGTTTAATTTGCCTTCTGAATATTTGTGAATTGAACATTTTTCCATGTTTGTTGACCATTTGCATTTTTAATTTATCTGTGACTTATACCCATTATTTTCTATTAGATTGTTAATTTTTCTTGATTTATGTAAGCTCTTTTATTATTGTGTGGATATTAACCCTTTGCCTTTGGACAGTATTGTTAATATTTTCCTGAGTTTGTCATTTGTCTTTCAACTTTGTGTATGATTTTTTTGCCACACAGAAGTTTTCAATTGTACTCAACATTATTTATCATTATTTTTCCCCTGTATTATTTTACTTTTGTGTTTTAAAGTGTTCACATGTAAATTTTTAGCCTGTCTAATTTATTTGGTGCAATGAGGTAAGGATTTAATATTTTCTTGCTAATTACTAGCCAATCTTCCCAATATTTTTTAAAGATCCTGCCATTTCTTCAGGGATTTGAATGCCACTTTTCGTCACATACTCAAGTGCCTAGGTCTCCCCCATCCTCCCACCCTCTGCAATCCTGGGCCTCTACCTAGTGTCAGAGTGTGAGCCCCAGCCCAGCCCCTAGCTCAACAGCAGCCAGGGGAATTGAGCAGTGTCTCAGATGGAGTCCGGGAAGCAGGGGGAGAGGGTGGGATGGCTGTAGCATTGCAGCAGCACTTGGGGAACAAGACTGACTCACACAGTGACTGGAACATTCATGGGCGGCTCCTTCGAAGCACAAAAATAAATGGGTATTTAACAGCAAAGTGGCAGACTGCCTAGGCATTTACTCCCTGGACTGCAGCACTGGGATGAGGGCTCCTCCATTCTGGCCATTGCTTTAGGTGCTGCTATGATTGCCACTTGCAGCAGACCTATCCCCTGATCACAGCTCCAGGATCTGCCTGGGTGAACATTGATCTCTAGCTGGAATCAGAGGGGACACCCAGATTCTGGTGCCCCCGCCAGACCCTGCTCTAGATTATTTCCCTCCCTTTGTTACCGCTTTCAGGAGCCATTGCCTTTCTTTTGGGCTGTCAACCTGTATACACCGATTCTTCCCTCTTTTCACTCAGTGGCGCTGTGGCTTCTCGTCTAAGAGTGGCTAGTCTACAAGTTTGAATACACCCTTCTAAATCCTCACATTACTTTTTCTAGGGACAGCTTCCTTAAATCCTTATACAATCATATACTTCAAAAGAGAGTTATATTTAGTGTTTCAAAGGTTAAAATAAATAAAACAATAAAGTTTAATCTGTATTAAGGCATTCTGCTACATAAATTCTTGAGCAAAAAATATGTTTATAATTGGGGAGACTTAACCATCACTATTGCTCCTCGTATCATTCCAAGAACCTCAGTGACATTGGTGCTGCTTCTGCTGGTGCTCAGCCAGTGGAGTTTACTGCTGGTCTCTCCATCCCCAGAGCCTCTGTTGCTCCAGTACCCAGAGGTGGGTTACCCATCCCTAAAGTCCTTTGAATTCAGCCATTATTGCTATTCCTGCTACTGTCTTCAATCACCAAGCCCAACCTACCACCCAAGTCTCATGTTTATTGATGTTGTAAGTCCTTGCGTTTGGAGAAGGGGCAGAAGGTGCAACCTACCCTACCCTCTTCTTTGTAGGCCTAGGGCTGCCACAGATGTTTGTGCAGTTTGAGCCCTGCGCAAAGGTGCCTGTCTGAGGGGCAGACGGAGGCTGAAATTCAGTGCTCAACACAGGAGTCCTGCCATCTTGCTAGGGTAGTGAGTGGGTACTGGGTCTGCCTCAAGGAGGGCATGACTTTCTAATTTGCACAAAGGTCCTGTATGGGCTGGCAGCAAGCAGTCCTGGGGCAAGACTTGGAGAAACCATAAGGCAGCCCAGAGTTTTAGCCTTTTGCATTAGGAAAATAGACCAGCCCTCTCACAGTATTTACTGGGAAGATCCATTTTAGGTGTTAAACATTTTAGGTACTTGTGAGTTTCTCTCAGTCCTTGCTGATGGGAAGCCATTGGCCACTCATTGACTGTACATCAAACAAATGTGAACATTTACCTCTTCTTCCCTTTGGCTGAGAGGCATCTGTCAGAAAGAGGCTCTTCATTAGCCCTCTTTCTTGTCTTTCCAGAAGCTTAAGAATTTGTTTGTAAATAGGATAGCCCACACCCTGAAAAAGAAGACAGAGAACATCTATGGAATTGTCAACTCAATACCCTTCCAGCCCCCTTCTCTTAGGAACTGTCACTCCTCCTCCATTTCTCCCTCCCCTTTACACCCACATCTATGTTAGAGGCTGTCATTTTCTTATATGACCACAGCTCCTGTTGGGTTTGACTCAACTGGGGCTCAAAGTTTTTCTCTGGGATTTTTCTAATTAAAATAAAGAGGGACTGTCCCTCTCAAAGAGTAAAGCTATAAGGTGAAAAAAGGGGGAAAAAGGAAGTTGTGTATGGTTAGGTTTGCTTTCTGGTAGAGAAAGTTGATCTACAATGAACAAGAATGGGAGTAGCACGTAGAAAGAGGCAGAGATTCCAAACAGAGAAGAAGGGAGTCCTGGCAGCCGTCCAGTTCTTGGTTCCCATAGTTCCTTGAGGCCTAGCTGCATTACAATTTTCCCCATCATTTGGTTACTCACCTCCTTCTTGGATTTTCTAAACCAGCAACCCCCACACCCTACCCCATTTTGTTAGGCTAATTCAAGCTATGTTTCTATCACTTTGCAACCAAGAGCTCTGCTTTCTACAAAGGCAAATAAAGTACCCTAGGGATGCTTTGCTTTCCTAGTTAGACTCCACTGGGCCTGACTATAAAGATTATTTCACATAGGTAAAACCCAGAGGTCTGTTGGGTCATCTGTCACTTGGATTGCTAAATAGGGTTTACTACCTGCTGAAGTTTTACAATAAGGGGAATAGTTAAGAAAATGGGTCCAGCAGGATTTTCGGTTCACAATAATGTTAATTTCCTGAGAAAACCACTTGACCTCAGACAAGGCATTTTCTTTTTCTAGAAACAAGGCGTTTTCTTTTTCTTGAGAATTGTTTTATTTTGTTTTGTTTTTAAATAACAAAGTGCTATTGTATAGTAGACATTCTTGAGATGACTTCCTTTCTATACACATATATGAGCAAATTAAATAGGGACATAAGCAGAATAAATGGTATTGAAAATGTACATTCACGAAGCTCAATTTGAAGAATCTCTGCTGAGGTTTTGCCCATGTTTTCACAATGTCATTATAAACCTATTTTTCATGCTTGCATTAATGACATTTATTAAGTGACCATTCATCGATATCTACTTTGCAAAAACTCTATGGAAGCAACAGAATTGAACAAAAGAGTTCCTTACCATGGGGTGTTTATAACCCTATCTTGAGACACACTTGTAAAAAAATTAATATAAGGCCAATTGATATGAATGCTGTGACAGACACAATGAAGGATTCTGGAAGCATTAAGGAAGGAGAGACTAATCCCAGCTGGGGTGGAACATAACTGGCTCTCCATGTGGCAGATTCACATTAACCAAGCTCTGAGAAATTATCTACAAATCTGCAATTCAACGTTACTGTTTTTCAAGGACAACTTTCTGACAAGGGTCTAGACACTTCTTTGGTTGTATATGAGCTTACTACAGTACCTTTAAACTGATACCTGACACTTCCCCAAATGAGATTATATTTTATGATGAATATTTCTCAAAATACTTCATAATTATCATGCTTACAGATTTCATAAGGCAAGAGAAAAGGCAGTGAGTGGTTTAATGGATACAGTCCAAAGGACAAATTTATTTCTAAAAATGAACAAGGGTTGGCAAGCCTTTTCTGCAAAGGGCCAGATAGTGAATATTTTCGGCTTTGCAGGCTATAAGATCTGTCCCAACTACTCCACAATGCTGTCTTAGATTAAAAGCAGCCACAGGCAATACATAAATGATATGCATAGCTGTGTTCCAATAAAACTTTATAAAAACAGGTAGAGAGCTGCATTTGGTTTGAGGACCATAGTTTGCTGACCTCTGACTTAAAATAAAGGAAAGAGACTAGGAACATTTGATAAAAAAGATCCCGCTAGTATCGTATTGTGCATTGCGCAGAGAGATAAAGGTGAAAAAGACGCAGTCTAAAGTCCGGTGTAGTACGGGAAATCAGTAAGAAAATAATCAGAATATGAGGCAAAAAGGAGTGAGTGCCTTAAGTGAGGAACAGATACTTCTGACTTAGAAAAGCCAGAAGGGGCCAGGCGCAGTGGCTCATGCCAGTAATCATAGCCTTTGGAAGTCCAAGGTGGGTGGATCACATGAAGCCAGGAGTTCAAGACCAGCAAAACATGGAGAAACCCCGTCTCTACTAAAAATACAAAAATTAGTTTGGCATGGTGGCGTGCACCTGTAGTCCCAGCCATTCGGGTGGCTGAGGCACGAGAATCACTTGAACCCAGTAGGCGGAGGTTGCATTGAGCCAAGATTGCACCACTGCAATCCAGCCTGGGTGACAGAGGAGACTGTCTCAGAGAAAAAAAAAAAAAAAAAAGCCAGAAGGCATAGGGTCTGCTCACCTGGAGAAAGGAAGAGGCATTTTAGAAAGGAGGAATTGTGTATGGAAATGAACATGACATTGGGCACAGCACTGGCAGGGCACAGGGACAGTTAGAAAGAAAGTTCGTTACTTAGCTATGGGCCCATACCTTTCCCTCTCCCTGAGTCCTAGAGCTCCTTAACCAGTACCGTAAGAACGTTCCCCTCCTGCGAGCCTGCAGAAGGTCCCTGGCTCTTATCAGATGAGATCATATTGAAATACAGTCTAGCAAGACCAATTCTAATAATGAGACTGGACTCCCTCACTTTGCACTTGTATTCCAAATGGACCAAAATGCCTTTTGTAGCCTAGAATAACCAGAGTAAAAAGGCCCTGCATTGAGGTTCTCCCAATGTCACTTATATGTCACAAGTACCTTTGCCCCAAATAAGTATCTTTACACTTAGTAAAGCTAACGGGTGCAGTGTGAGAAAGCTAGTCATCTCTGGGCAAGGCTATAGTTCACATGATGGTCCAGGAGGCAGGAGGGCTTAGGATTCTCTAGGCAGGGCTCCCTGTGGTGTTGAGAGTTCCTGTTCCAATGGTCTCCTCAAGGGTAGTCTGCACCAAAACTCATGTGGGCTCTGTCTTATAAAATAGTCAAATCAATGTAAATGAGAATAAAACATAAAATACTTTTAATCAGTGAGATCAGCAAAGATTAAATATTTTTTAAATGATCAGAGTTAAGAAATGGATAGGGAATACATATGCTTGTTTTCTTTTGATGGGAGCATTAATTGGAACACAGATGCCATTAGTAGTTTGTACAAAATACCTTTTGGTTTAGCATTTTTATTTTTAGAAATGTATTCTAAAGAATGATTGGACAAGTGTATCCAATATAATGATAACTGCAGCATTTTTTATAGAGAACAATATAAATGTCCAGCAATAGACTCATTTAAATTAATAATGATACATTCAGATGATAGCTGTCATTCCAGCAATATAAGTAATATTTTAGAGAACATGTAATATGGAAGTACAATATATTGAATATTAGTTTACAAAATAGTATGATAGTATGATTATAAATTTATACAAAATACAGAATATATATACATTATATATACATTATATATAATATATACATTGTATACACACATTTTATATATACATTATATATACATTATATATTATATATACACATTATATATATATACGTTATATATATACACATATATATACGTTATATATATACACATTATATATATACGTTATATATATACACATTATATATATATATTTTTTTTTAGACAGAGTCTCGCTCTGTCACCCAGGCTGAAGTGCAGTGGCAGGATCTCAGCTCACTGCAACCTCCCCCTCCCTGGTTCAAGCGATTCTCCTGCCTCAGCCTCCCAAGTAGCTGGGACTACCCATGCCCAGCTAATTTTTGTATTTTTAGTAGAGACTGGGTTTCACCGTATTGGCCAGGCTGGTCTCAGGCTCCTGACCTCAAGTGATCCACTGCAGTATGTATTTTTATATAAACATGTATTTTAAAAAGACTCTATATACATATATATACATTCCAGTAAGGGATTGGAAAATAAATTGTGGTACATCCATATGGTGGAGTATTATGTGGCTGTTAAAGAATGAGGTTGATCTATGTGCTGATATGCAAAGATGTCCATGATACATTATTAAATGGGAGAAGAAGGTTATATAGTAATATACATAGTATAATCTCATTTTTAAAAAAGTTTACATATGCATTAAGAAGTCTTTACAGGTAGTTATATCTTGGGTGAGGAAAGAAGGGGCTGTCCTGTTAATGGAATGCTGCATAACAACTCCCCTTAAAATGTGGTAGCACTATTCATGTATTAGCTCCCCCTGTTTATGTGAATCAGGAATTTGGGAGCTGCTTAACTGGGGAATTCTGCATCGGGGTTCCCATGAGATTATAGCAAGACTGTGGCTGGGGGTGGGATCATCTTGAAGGCAGGTTCATTCACACTTCTGGTGCCTGAGCTGGGAAGGCTTGAAAAGTTGGGACTGTTCCTGGGACCCTCACTTTATCCTTCTGTGGTGTTTCTTGATGTTCTCTTCTCTTCTCTTCTCTTCTCTTCTCTTCTCTTCTCTTCTCTTCTCTTCTCTTATCTTATCTTCTCTTATCTTCTTTCGAGACAGAGTCTCACTGTGTCGCCCAGGCTGGAGTGCAGTGCCATCATCTCAGCTCACTGCAACCTCCACCTCCCAGGTTCAAGCGATTCTCCTGCCTCCCGAGTAGCTTGGACTGTACTACTGGGAGGCATTTACAGGCAAGTCCCAGCCTCCTGAGTAGCTGGAACTATAGGCACACACCCGGCTAATTTTTGTATTTTTAGTAGAGCTGGGGTTTTACCATGTTGGCCAGGCTGGTCTTGAACTCCTGCCCTCAAGTGATCCGCCTGCCTCAGCCTCCCAAAGTGCTGAGATTACAGGCATGAGCCACTGCACCTGGCATCCTCTGTGGTGTTTCTTAATATGTGATCTCTTTAGCATGGAGGTTTCAAGTTAGTAGACTTCCTACATGGCAACTCAGGGCTCCAAAGACACAAGTGCAGAGAGAGAGAGAACCAGGCAGAAGCCATATTGCCTTTTATGATCTAGCCTTAGAAGTCGCTTTTGCCACAATCTATTGATCAAAAGCAGTTTCAAAGATCTGCCCAGGTCCAAAAGTTGGGAACCCAGACACTACCTCTCAATGGAGGAATGTCAACATCTCATTATAAGAAGAGTATGGGCCAGGCGCAATGGCTCACACCTGTAATCCCAGCATTTGAGGAGGCCGAGGCAGGCGGATCACGGGGTCAGAAGATCGAGACCATCATGACCAACATGGTGAAATCCTGTCTCTACTAAAAATACAAAAATTAGTTGGGCATGGTGGCGCGTGCCTGTAATCGCAGCTACTTGGAAGGCTAAGGCAGAAGAATCGCTTGAACCAGGGAGTCGGACGTTGCAGTGAGCCAAGATCGCGCCACTGCGCTCCATCCTGGTGACAGAGGGAGACTCCATCTCAAAAATAAATAAATAAATAGTATGTGGGATGGGTGCAACCTTCTTTGGAAAATAAAATACATTCTGCTCCAGTATATTTTATGTAATTTTGTATGTTTTAATTTTTACAATGAATGTGTCTTATTTTGGAATGAACAAAAACAATGAAAGATTATTCCAATTTTAAAATATATAAAATTAAAAAGGAATGAAACATTTCTTCCAGTCATCCCACATGAAGAGCTTTAAAAATCACATTACAGGTCTGGGCGCAGTGGCTCACGCCTGTAATCCCAGCACTTTGGGAGGCCGAGGCAGGCGGATCACAAGGTCAGGAGATCAAGACCATCCTGGCTAACATGGTGAAACCCCGTCTCTTCTAAAAATACAAAAAATTAGCTGGGTGTGGCGGCAGGCCCCTGTAGTCCCAGCTACTTGGGAGGCTGAGGCAGAAGAATGGCGTGAACCCAGAAGGCGGAGCTTGCAGTGAGCCAAGATAGCGCCATTGCACTCTAGCCTCGGCTACAGAACAAGACTCTGTCTCAAAAAAATAAAATAAAATAAATAAAAATCACATTACATCCTGCCTATGCTATAGTGCAGTGTTGTAAGTTGGAGCAATTATTTTGAAAGTAGAGGAGATAATATACCTTATGGTAATCACAAAGTGATCTATTTCAAAGCAGTCCCCATTAAAGCTACAATCGTATTATGATGGCTTGATTTAAAATAGGCTATGAATTAGAAGTTTATCTATTTTTTTCAAAACTGTTTTAGGCTATTTTAAATTTTAAAGTCAAGTAAAGCTGGAGAAATGATCTTAATTTCTTATAATAATAATATCACTCAACATTCTAGAGCAAGTAAATGATTCCTAGTGTGACAGCCTTACCAACAAGTAAAATTTACCTAACCATGTCCTTAGCAAGATTTCAGGAGCACTAGAAAGCCTGCTGCCCCACAGCTTCTCTAACCACTGAGACCCAGAGTTCTACCCACAGTTTTGTTTTTGGACCTTAATACTTCCTACCTTTCAAATTTTAAAAAATCCATGAAAAAAATGTAGCACTTTAAGTTTCATTGGTAATCTACAGCAGGGCAGATGGCTTTCTGATCCCTGCAGGTGGGAAGGTTCTGAAGACCAAATACAACCTTTGTGTAGTTCATTGTCTACTAGGGCCCACTCTGTTGGTGCTTATTACTGATTAATTATAACTGTTTTCTGCTGTGCTGTCCTATTCATTCCAAGAGGAAAAGTTACCATGTAGTGTCAGTAGTTTCTCCTTTACATTTTATGTTATGTTATGTTATGTTATGTTATGTTATGTTATGTTATGTTATGTTATGTTATGTTATGTTATGTTTTTGAGATGGAGTCTCGCTCTGTTGCCCAGGCTGGAGTGCAGTGGCACAATCTCGGCTCACTGCAACCTCCGCCTCCCACGTTCAAACAATTCTCTGCCTCAGCCTCCTGAGTAGCTGGGATTACAGGCGCCTGCCACCATGCCCGGCTAATTTTTGTATTTTTAGTAGAGACAGGGTTTCACCATGTTGGCCAGGCTGGTTTTGAATTCCTGACCTCGTGATCCACCCACCTCAGCCTCCGAAAGTGCTGGCATTACAGGCATGAGCCACCATGCCCGCCCTCTCCTTTACATTTTAATTTTCAGTGAAATAATTCAATCACAAGGTTTGAAAAAAATTGAATAATACAAAATGATTTATATGGAGAAGCAATGGTTTCCTGCTCCACTCCACCAAAGTCCAAAGGAACCTTTAAAATAATATGCATATTCAACTATTTATGATTTATCAATGTGAAACATGGTATATTGACTTCCTACTGCAATGGATGATAACACGGTTTGCTTCTCCACACCTTTCCCAAGTTCCCCTCTGCTCTCCTTTTAGTATAATTACATCACCATTTTTGTTCTTATACTGATGACCTTAAAATTAATTATTAAAACAAAGAGCTAAGTGCTACAAAAGCAGTAAGATAGGAGACATTTTACATAAGGAAGAGGAACTGAACATTTAGGCTGTAAAGTTAGTGTGAGAAATTATATTACAATGCAGTTGTCTTTAACATTCAGTTTGAACTAAATGCCCCCCTCTCAATTCACCTTTCAAGGGAAACTTCACACACACAATGGAGTTTACTGTGCTGCCAAAAAAAAAAAAAAAAAGAAAAAAGCATTTGAATATTAGAAATCAGGTGATATGGCAGTAGATGGGGAACCCTAGTAGAAACTAAAACTGGCTAATTACCCTAGGGATAGAGAGAGGAGGCATGGGTTAAAAAGTGGGAGACCAAGCAATAGACTGAAGGCTCAACATGGCAGAGACCACCAGTTGCCTACTCAACTTCCAGTTAGAACCCCATGTTGTCAAGTATGGCAATGAATTTGGTCAGATAAAACTATTAGGGTTGTACATACTATACTTAGCAATAAAAATGCAGGACTCTCAGTTACATTTGTATTTCAGATGAACAATAAATACTTTTAGCATAAGCATGCTCCATGCAATATTTTATCCAGCATCCCTGAGAAGTATATTTACCAACCTCCCTTGCAGATAGTGGTGGTCAAAGATATGTCAGAAGAGGTCATTGGGTGGAGCATCTAGGAGAGTACTCACGCACATATACTCTTCTCTTCCTACCTCCTTCTGCCTGGAATGCTAACGAGCAGCAGCTGTCCAGTGATCATGAAACAAGCTCGAGGGTAGAATCCAGCACTATGGACGGGATTATAGACAGAGGAAGGAGACTGGCCAACACTGACGATGTTGCAGAACAACCCAACAGCCCTGATTTATCTTACATGAGAAGATAAATGAGAAAAAACAAATTTCTGACTTGTGTAAGCTAGTAAGTTGGGTTTTTATCTTATGTATTTGAACTCAATCCTAACCCAAACACTCCGTGTTCACGTGCCATTAGCAAAAGGTCACAACCATTGTCAGAATCAATCATTTTGAGATAATACATAATACATAACACAGCAAGGTAATTAAAAATGCATAATGATAAAATCAAGAAACCTGTGGGAAGCTCCCACAAGTCATCACAGCTTGCATGCAGCTGACTAAAATAGGGGATTCCCACAGGTTAGTTCATCCAGAAACTGCTGGGAACTTCAGGTCTGCAGTCAGCCCACATATCCGCTTAGAGTGGCCTCCAGAGAGTGATGACTTCACCTTATTGCCTACTTTCTGCAGCTCATTTGGGTGCCTCTCATTTGCAGATGCTACTCTGGAACTATATGGGGAAGGGGATTCTAAGAAATGGAATTCTTGGTTCCTCTTTTCCATTACATAGGAGGAAGGCAGCGATGTTGACAACAAGCAAGCCTAAATCTGCATTAAGTTTTGTTTCATCACTTATTGATTATTATTATTATTATTGAGACAGGGTCTTGCTCTGTCACCCAGGCTGGAGTACAGTGGTGAAATCATAGCTCACTGTAACCTTGATCTCCTGGGCTCAAGCAATCCTCCATGATGGTACATGTCTGTAGCCCTAGCTAGCTCTCAGAGACTAGGACTACGGACATGCACCACCATGCCTGACTTTTTTATTTTTATTTTTGTAGAGATGAGGTTTGGCTACCTCGACCAGGCTGGTCTCAAACTCCTGGCCTCAAGTAATTGTCCTGCCTTGGCCTCCCAACATGATGGGCTTATAGACATGAGCCACTGCACCCAGACTGTTTTATTTTTTTTAAAACCTTTTTGTTTGTTTTAAAAGTCTATGTATTAATAACCATCAGAGTAAACAGACAACCCACAGAATAGGAGAAAATATTTGCAAACCATGCATCTGACAAAAACTAATGCCCAGAATCTTCAAGGAACTCAAATTAGTAAGAAAAAAAAATCCCATCAAAAAGTAGGCAAATGACATGAATAGACAATTCTCAGAAGAAGATAGACAAATGGCCAACAAACACATGAAAAAATGCCCAACATCACTAATCGTCAGGGAAATTCAAATTAAAACCACAATGAGATAGCATAACCTTACTCCAGCCAGGATGGCCATCATTAAAAAGTCAAAAAATAATAGCTGTTGGCCAGGATGTGATGAAAAGGGAATGCTTATACACTGCTTATGGGAATATAAATCAGGACAACCTCTATGGGAAACAGTATGGCGATTTCTTAAGAACTAAAAGGAGATCTACCAGTATATCCAGCATTCCCAACACTGGGTATCTACCCCCTCAAAAAGAAGTCATTATATCAAAGATACCTGCCCTTGTATGTTTATTGCAGCACAATTTCCAATTGCAAAGATATGGAACCATCCTAAGGGCCCACTGACCAATGAGTGGATAAAGAAAATGTGGTATGTGTACACCATGGAATACTACTCAGCTGTAACAAAGAACAAAATATTGCTATTCAGCAACTTGGATGGTTCTGGAGGCCATTATTCCAAGTGATGTAACTCAGTAATAGAAAACCAAATACTGTATATTCTCACTTAGCAGTGAGAGCTAAGCTGTGGGTACACAAAGGCATACAGGGTGGTATAATGGACTATGGAGGCTCAGAAGGGGGAGGGTAGGAGAGAGTGTGGGATAAAAAACTATGTATTGGGTACAGTGTATACTACTTGGGTGACAGGTGCACTGAAATCTCAGGCTTCACCACTATACAATTCATCCATGTAACCACAAACCACTTGCACCCCAGAAGCTATGGAAATAAAATAAAAATAAAATCCCCTCCATAACTGAATAAAACAAAATAAAATGTCTATATATTGAAACTGGGTCACTCATATGTTGCTGGTGAGATTGTAAAATGGTACAACCACTTTGGAAAACTGTTTGGAAGTTCCCAAAAAAACAAAACATGCCACTACCATATGGCCCATTGCATTTCTGAGCATTTACCCTAGAGAAATGAAAGTGTATGTTCACACAAAACCCTCTACAAGCATGCTCATAAAATTTTTTTTATTTTATATTATTTGACAAATAATAATTGTATATATTCATGAGGTACATAGTGATGTTTCAATGCTGATAACATATAATGATCTCAGATCATGGTAATTAGTGTAGCCATCATCCCAAACATTTATCATTTCTTTGTGTTGGGAACATGTAACATCCTCCTTCTAGCTATTCGAAACTATATAATATATTATTGTTATCTGTAGTCATCTTACAGCTCTATTAGAAGTTGTTCCTCCCGTCTAGCTGTAATTTTGTATCCTTTAACAAATCTCTTCCTATCCTTCCCTTCCATGCATAGCAGCTTTATTCACAATAAACTGTAGTACACATGTACCATGGAATACTACTAAGCCATGAAGAGGAGTAAAACATTAATACTTGAAACAACTTGGATGGGTTATCAGGGAATTATATTGAGTGAAACAAGCCAAATCTCAAAGGGTTACATACTGCATGATTCCCTTTATATAACTGATATAGTTTGGATACTTGTTCCCCCAAATCTCATGTTGAAGTGTAATCTCCAGTGTTGGTGGTGGGGCCTGGTGGGAGGCATTTGGATCATGGGGACAGATTCCCTCATGGCTTAGTGTTGTCCTCGTGAGAGTGAGTGAGTTCCCATGAGATCTGGTTTTTTAAAAAGTGTGTGGCACTTACCCTCCCACTCTCTCTCTTGCTCCTGTCTGGCTGTGTGATGTACCTGCTCCTGCTTCATCTTCCACCATGAGTAAAAGCTCCCTGAGGCCTCCTCAGAAGCTGAGCAGATGCCAGCACCACGCTTGTACAGCCTACAGAACCAATTAAACCTCTTTTCTTTACAAATTACTCAGTCTCAGGTATTCCTTTATAGCAATGCAAGAATGACCTAATGGAATAACATTACTAAAATTAGAAAATTATAGAGATGGAGAACAGATTAGTAGTTGCTAGGGGTTAGGGCAGGTGGCATAGGGAGGGAGGTATCTGTGATTATAACAGGGAAGTATGAGGGATCCCTGTGATGGAACCATTCTGTGTCTTGACTGTGGTGGAGGTCATACAAATGTATACCTGTGATAAAACTGCAAAGAACAAAATACACACACCCACACACACACACACACACACATGAGTACCTATAAAACTGATGAAATCTGAATAAAGTTGATGGATTATATCAGGATTAATTTTCTGGCTTGATTTTGTACTTTAGTTATGTAAGCTGTCATCATTGGGGGAAATTGGATGAAGGGTATACAGAATCTCTCACAATGCAGGTGAATTTACAATTATCTCAAAATAAAAAGTTAAAATTAAAATTCTAGGCAAGCTCTGGGATATAGAACTCTGAGTACTAGATTTGAAGAAAGGATTCCAGCACTGGGCAGGAGGTGGGGCTAAATAAATAAATGCCTGCCGGGCATGGAGGCTCACTCCTGTAATCCCAGCACTTTGGGAGGCTAAGGCGGGAGGATGACTTGAGCCCAGGAGTTTGAGACCAGCCTGGGCAACATAGAGAGACCCCCATTTTTTAACTTGAAAAAGAAAAAAAGTACATGCCAAGATTTCTTCCAACTCTTAGGATTCTTTTATTTCTTTTTTCTTTGGTTCTCTCCTCTTCCTTTTTTCTTCCTTCTTTTTTCATATTTCTTTCCATTTTGTACTTACCAAGATAAGTCTTTGACATTCCACGGGAATTTGTTGCCATTGCTTATTGATTAAAAAAAAAAGTGCCTCAGTTTGGCCCCAAGACCCTTTGTAATCTAGTCTCTACCTAATTCTCTACCTGAAAGTCCAACAGTTCTTTGCAGCCCAGAAAATCAAACACTGGATGCTATATTGCCTTCTACCCCAATCCCACCCTAGCTATGCTCCATTTCACTTGCCTTTCTCTGGAAGACTCCATGATGGTCTTGATTTCCCTTGTTCCACTTTCAACTAACCCACTCTTTGTTGGATTGCTTGGACAGCTACCCATGCATGAATCTATAAGTGGCACAAAACATATCTGAAAAAACTGGAAATTTGGTGCTAGGTAAACTTAGATTTTTATGTGCATCTCCTTATATTATAAAGGGAAAAACTGAAATTAGTTCAACTCTTATTTTAGTGTATATAATAAACCATTATTTTGAATTTGACATGAAAGAGGAAAATATATTATTAATAATTCTTCACTGACTTCTAAGAAAAATGGATCCTAATTAACTAGAGAATCAATCTAGGGGCCTTTGCCTAACTGGCGTAAGTAGAAACAAATGGTGTTGCATCAAGTTAAGAACATGAGACTGGTGCAGAGCTAAAGTGTTTGGCATAAGAGAGAGTTTGGAAGGGAAGAGGAAAGAAATCCTGGAAGGCGAGGATAGTTGTTAGGAAGGCTTAATGCTGGAGGGAGAAAGTAGTTTTAAGGCAAAAAATAGAGATTTTGAAGAGATATAGCTAATGGGCTTTTTTTCTTTTTTTTAAGTGAAAAGCTGGGCCAGGCACGGTGGCTCACACCTGCAATCCCAGCACTTAGGGATTCCAGGGAGAGAAGATCGCTTGAGCCCAGGAGTTCTAGACCAGCCTGGACAACATAGTGAGACCCTGTCTCTACCAAAAATGCAAAAATTAGCCAGGTGTGGTGGTGCGCACCTGTAGTCCCAGCTTCTTGGGATGCTGAGGCAGGAGGCTTGCTTGAGCCCAGGAGATCAGGGCTGCAGTGAGCCATGATTGCACCACTGCACTCCAGTCTGGGTGACAGGCTGAGACCCTGTCTCAAAAAAAAAAAAAAAAAAGAAAATCAAACAGATGAAAAAATAAGGCAGTGGTTAACTCTAGGAAAAATAAAGAGATGTAAAGCAAACAGAAGAAACCCAAAATCATAATCATAAGTCATTTATCACAATAGTAAACAATAATTACATATTTATAATAATACTATTGATTTACCCCAAGTTGTGAGCTCTATTGAAAAATGAAATTGGGGATGAGCTTTATTCTCCATCAAAGGAAGTCAATACATTTTTAAAACCAGTAAATCAAAAATAGCAATGTAAGCATATTATTGAGAAATATGCTAAAAGAAATAGATAAAAAATGAAGAGTTGACTATTACAATATGCTTTTGGGGACTGGTGAATGGTGCAGTAGGAACTACTATTTTTTCATATTTGTTTTTAAGTACATTTATTATTTTGATAAAAATACCGTTAACTCACAAAACAATATTTTTAAAAAGTAGAATCTGCCTACACTTTTCACATATGTTTTAAGAAGTTTAAGCTGTAACATGCTAGTTTGCTTCCGTTTGACATGTAAAACACATGATATTGACAGATATCTTGACTGTACTTCTGAAGATGCTTTAACTGCCAGGAGACAGATAGTGGATATTTCAAGTTCCTACCCATAGAGAGGTGTATAGAAGAGCAGCTCACCTGCCGACAGCTAATTTTCATGTCTGCTACTGCCTGTGGACTTTTGCCCTTCTCTTCTGACTCTGGCCTTTCAGTTTGTATCCTTCTGTTAGTTCTGAAGTTCAGTATTTTTTTAGTCCAGAGTACTTTGGCTTTGTTTTATGAAAGTCTATATTCCTCCTTGCCCAGTCTAAGCTAAGTTTACCTTCTCATCTTTCTGGAAATCTATGCTCCTTTACAAATTCTCTTTCAAACTTTACTTTAAAAAATACTTTATTAATTCATCCAATAAGCATTTTTTAAGTCACTACTACTATGGGTCAAATCCTATGTCACACCCGGAGACAGAGAAGAATATGCAGTTCCATTCTAGCAAACGAGATAAAGTTTCACAAATTACAGTTTGGATTTCTGTTAGGGGATTAGGGTGCCACTGATGACAGCCACTGCTCCATACAGCTTGCTGTTGCCATCACCCCAGCTGCAGCAGGGAGGCACCGCTGGGGCTGCACAGTCCATGAAGCCCAAGAGAGCCATGCCCCTTCCAAGATGGGGCGGGAGCTCCCTAGGCCTCCACTGCAGCTGCCCAAACTGAGGCGGCAGACTCAGGCATCCCTGCACTCTTGGGCGCCTGGGAAGGACCCCCTGCTCTTGCAGGCTCAGAAGTGCCTGCCCCTGCTGCCTGGCTTCTCCCTGCTGTGGATGCCTGCTTGGATCTCGGAGCAAAGTCCTGAGAGCCTGAGGGCCATGAATGGCAGCAGGAGGCAGACAGATTCCTGGGTGGAAGGCGGCAGGTCCCCAGTAAGGCCCCTCCTTCAGGCCAGGGAAGGCCTGAGTCTGGGTGCTGGGCTGCCAGTCCCAAGGACTGGAGTGGGGACTTGTGGTGCCTCTTCTGGGCCTGCCCTTGGCCACCCATGGACCAATCAGCACGTACTTCCTCCCCTCTCAGGTCCATAAAAGCCCTGGGCTCAGCCAGAGCAGGGCAGAGGAGGTAGGGCAGGAGGACTAGCTGCAGAGAGGAGCTACCCTGTCTGCTGAGAGCTGCAAAGGCCAGGAAAACCTTCTGGCAGAGAAGATCTTGGTACCTGCATCTTCAGGCATGCTGCTATGAAGACACAGGTAGAGCCTTCAGAGTAGACCCCGGTTCTACTTACCCAAACAGCAGACAAAAGGCAAAGGCCACAAGCCTCCTTCTAAAATGTGGTTTTCAGGCCCCATCCACGTGTGCTTGCCACTTTTCCAGGGAGTGAAATATAATCTGTGGACCTGGGGTCAGAAGTGAATGAGAGGACAAAACAGTCACAAGCACTGATCTTTAGCCTTCAATATTGGTCTAGCCTACCAGTGAAACTGGTGCAATGAATGTCCCCAACTGTAAATATCATCTCAGTCACTCCTATGAGAAGGAAAAAAAGAAGGGATAAATTAAGAGAGGGCAGAAGTGCAGTAGAGGCTTCCTTTTCTTTGGGCTAAAACAAATACATGAGGAAAAGGTGAAAGAAGATTCCTCTTTTTTTTTTCTTGTAGAGAAGCGGGTCTCACTATGTTGCCCAGATTGAACTCCTGTCCTCAAGGTATCCTTCCACCTCATCCTCCCAAAGTGTTTGAATTACAGGCATGAACCACCATGTCTGGCCTTCTCTCTTCAACCAACAGTCTCCTTTTCTTTTATTTCTTTATTCTTTTCTTAAAAATAATTAGAAGCAGGGCCAGGCACAATGGTTTATACTACCTCTAATCCCACTGTTTTGGAAGGCTGAGGCAGGAGGATTGCCTCATACCAGGAGTTTGAAACCAACTGAGCAAAATAGTGAGATGCTCTCTATAAAAAATAAAAAATTAGCCAGGTGTTGTGGTGCATACCTGTAATCCTAGCTACTCAGGAGGCCGAGGTGGGAGGGTCACTTGAGCCCAGGAGTTTGAGGTTACAGTGAGCTATGATCAGGCCACTGCACTCCAGCTTGTGTGACAGAGTGAGACCCTGTCTCAGTAATAATAATGATAATAATTAGAATCACAAGAAACAGAAGTGGCTCAGTGTTTAACTAGATCATAATTAAACATACTACCTATTATTTATTAATGTATGAAAATACTAATGAACTATATTTGTGGTGGTTTTTTTTTTTTTTTTTTGAGAGGGAGTCTCGCTCTGTCGCCCAGGCTGGAGTGCAGTGGCACAATCTCGGCTCACTGCAAGCTCCGCCTCCCGCGTTCATGCCATTCTCCTGCCTCAGCCTCCCGAGTAGCTGGGACTACAGGCGCCCGCCACCACGCCCAGCTAATTTTTGTATTTTTAGTAGAGACGGGGTTTCACTGTGTTAGCCAGGGTGGTCTCAATCTCCTGACCTCGTGATCCGCCCGCCTCTGCCTCCCAAAATGCTGGGATTACAGGTGTGAGCCACCGCGCCCGGCCTATATTTGTTAAACATACATATGACCACCTCTAAAATGCATACATCAGGGAGAACTGACCTCAGGGTATTTTGGGGCCCAGTGTTCTGGGCCCCATAATCACATCACATAATCTCATTGGCTATTTGAGAGGATTGAATGAGTTAAAAATTTATAAAGTATGTAGCACAGTGCCTGGCATGCAGAAGCCTGGTTTTTGTGTTGTTATTAATTTACATTTGTGGGCTGGGCATGGTGGCTCATGCCTGTAATCCCAGAACTTTGGGAGGCCTAGGTGGGCAGATCACCTGAGGTCAGGAGTTCAAGACCAGCCTGACCAACACAGTGAAACCCCATATCTACTAAAAATACAAAAATTAGCTGGATGCAGTGGTCCATACCTGTAGTCCCAGCTACTTGGGAGGCTGAGGCTGGAGAATGGTTTGAACCTGGATGGTAGAGGTTGCAGTGAGCCGAGATCACGCCACTGCACTCCAGCCTGGGCAACAGAGCAAGACTGCGTCTAAAAAAAAAATTATGTTGGTGTAGCATTTTGCAGTAATTATCTTATTTGATTTTACAACATCCTGTGAAGAAAGTAAGACAAGTCATATTACCCTCTTTACAAATAAAGTTTTTCAGTACAGTGTCTACAATTCAAATTTTCTTATTTCTAGTTCAAAACCTTTCTACTGCCCCATGCATGGGGAGCTGCCTGGTTTTGAATTCGTTAGGAATAAAGTTTACAAGTAAAGTTTTTCAGTGCACTGTCTACAATTTAAATTTTCTTATTTCTAGTTCAAATCCCTTTCTCCTACCCCATGCATGGGTAGCTGCCTGGCTTCCCTTGTTCAGTAATTTAAAGGTTGAGTGTCTCACCTTCTCACTGGGAACTCTCAGATGACAACAAAGTAAAAATTTGGAATTCTCATACTCTAATAGAAAAATAACCTCTTAGCTTGAATTATATACAGTACTGGGCTTTGCAGTTTTCCAGACAAATCAATATGTGTATTGTACAATTCATAAATATTTGCTTTTTGTTTTGTATGAATTTTTTTTCACATACTGATTGTTTTATTTCTCATGAGTCAAACCCTTATGGGAGAAGGAATAAACAGGTAAACTGGATGTCACTCCCAATCCCTTCACTGCAGGAGGTTGATTTATCCCATTCAGCTGCATAGGTGGGTATTACCATCCTCCTTTTCTTCTTAAGCACATCTTTTATCTTTATATAAATAAAATGTGTATAATTTGCATTAAAAATATACATATATAAAAGGCTTATGTAAGTATTGTGTGCATTTATATATATATTATATATATATACACACACACACATAAATGTTAATAAATAGTTGGTAACCTGCTCTGTACATTGCTCTATAACCTGCTATATTTGCTTAACAACATATCACGAACATTTTCTTATGTCCTGTGAATTCGTTAGGTTAGCATTCCTAGCTAATTTATAGGACATAAGAAAATGCCCTGTGAACTTGATATAAAGCTTAAACAAGTAAGGGAGTTATGTGTTGCACAAATAAGAAATCCAGAGGTAAGCAGTCAAGGCTGGTATGATCCCTTCACAGTGCCTACCAGGACTCAGGCTCCTTCCATGTTCCTACTCTGCTATCATAGCAGATGGTCTTAGACCTTGCACTTGTTACCTCATTGTCACAAGACGGCTGCTCTACCACTCAAAATGCATTTGTATTCCAGGTAAAAAAAGAAGGGAAAATGCAAAGAGCAAAACAGCACATGTCAGCTGAGAAAGCTTTTGATAAAAGAACTTTCCTCACATCCCATCCAACAACTTCTACTTACATCTCACTGGCCAGAACGGTGGCTCATTGATACTTGGTTGGTAAACTGGGGAGAGACCAGTTATGCAATCCTCTCTTCTAATGTTGAATAATGCAGAGGTTCTTTGGATGGTGTAAAGTCTCATTCAAAATCAAAATTCTCCAAGGAAAACTTAAATGAGCAGAGTAAGCAATTTAGGAGCTATAGGTTTGGTCATTTAGGATGTTTATTGTTCTCTATTTTGCTGAAGTAGTTTCCTCTAATCTGAGTGTTACGAATACTATTGAGAAAAATTCCCTGTCTCTAGCAGCATGGAAATGCATTCAGCTTTCTACAGATACAGTCAAGAGTAATTATGAAGTTTAGAAAAGATACCCTGAATCGCTCCCTGTGCTGATATCTGGGCCTGTACTTTCTTCATGGAGCTGGCTGGTTGATTAATTCTGAAAAAGTCAGCAGTGTGCATACAGATAAAGCCTCAAAATATGGAAATAAGACATAATAGAGAATACATTTGGGTTTCAGCTAATCTTAAAATACTGGTGAATAATTTATTCTTCTAAATACTCTGCTTAAAGTCTAACCGATGATTGCTATTTATCAGTAATTAGACTCTCCATTTCAGCTCCTTTTCTCACAGACAGAAATAGCATGATCAGTTTTAAATTGGCAGGGAGGAATTAAAGGCTTTTCAATAATGTTTTTAATTTTTAAAAAGACACATTTACTGTAGAAAATAGAGAAAAGTACCAGAATGATGAAAATTATCCCTAATTTCAACAACTAGAAGTAATCAACATTGTAAAGTATATTATTTCACTCTTTCATAACATTTACATGTTATGTTTTAAATAGATAAAATGTATATAATATGCATAAAATGTATATAAAAAGATATGTGTGTGTGTGTGTGTGTGTATGTACACACACACACACACACAAATTGGGATCATGATTCGCATACTGTTGTTGTGCCTAACAAGATACCTTGAACATTTTTTCATGTCGCTGAGTTTTCCTCTATAATACTTTTCAAAGGCCACATAGTGTTCTGTTGAATCCAGGTACCAATTTATTCAAGAAATCCCTTACTATTAAACATTCCAATTCTTTCTAGATTGTATTATTTGAGACAAGGTCTCACTGTCACCCAGGCTGGAGTGCAGTGGCGTGATCATGGCTCACTGCAGCCTCAACCTCCCTGGCTCAGGTGATCCTCCCACCTCAGCCTCCTGAGTAGCTGGGACTACAGGCATGTGCCACGAAGCTTGACTAATTTTTTAATTTTTTTTTTTTTTGTAGTGCAGGGGTATCCCTATGTTGCCTGGCTGGTCTTGAACTCCTGGGCCCCAGTGATCCACCCATCTCAGCCTCCTAAAATGCTGGGATTACAGGCGTGAGCCACCATGTTCAGCCAATTTTTATTATTATACATAATTCTGTGAGGAATAACTGCATAACTCTCTCACACTTCTGATTATTTCTTAAGGGTAAATATTCATAGACGAGAATGAACATTGTATTTTGATATCACTTGTTTCTGCCTGCCTAGAGTTTCTTCTCATTTTCACATGATAGAACTGACCTCCTACCTCACTCTCTCATTGCCTTTTAGTATCTGCCTCTCCCACAACTGGTAAAATGTTTCATCACATGGCTGGGACTGATCAGAGTGCCCTGTCTCCTACCACTCCAGGCACAGTGACTGGTCCAGGAGTGAGCATATGATCTAAGTAGGGCCAATAAGAGGGAAATTTTCTAGGTCTGATAATAACTCTTGGATGAAAACATCTCTTTCCTTCTGAAATTCTTAAATGGCACCAAAAATCATTTAAGGTTGGGACTGATGAGGGCCCTCTTGATGCCAACATGGAAGAAAGCAGAGCTAAATAATGAAGTGACAAAGGGGGATTCCTACTGACATCTTTTTTCTCTTTCTTTCTTTCTTTTTTTTTTGAGACAAGGTCTCACTGTCACCCAGGCTGGAGTGCAGTGACGCGTTCATGGTTCACTGCAGCCTCAAACTCTTGGGTTCAAGCCATTCTCCTGCTTCAGCCTCCCCAGTGGCTGTGATTACAGGTGTGCACGTCCATGCCTGGCTAATTTATTTTTATTTTTGTAGAGATAGGGTTTCACTATGTTGCCCCAGCTCGTCTGGAACTCCTGGCCTCAAGCGATCCTCCTGCTTCAGGCTTCCAAAGTGCTGGGATTAGAGGTGTCAGCCACTGCGCCCAGCCTGATGCCATCATTTCAGTTCCTGGTCTCAGCCATGACCGAAGCAAGGTGCTTCCCTAGACTTGTCCAATTATTTGACCTAATAAATTTCCCTGTTTATTTAAACTAATCTGAACTGGCTTTCTGTCTTTGGCAATCAAGGCTCTTGACTAATGTAACTATTGTTAAGGTTTTGATATGTATTTCCAAATTACCTCCCAGAACTACATTGCCAAATACACATGTGGAATGTGGAATTTTAAATTGAATTAATGTTAATATTGCTGCAATGTATCAGTGTAGAATTACAGTATGAGTCAATCTATCTTTTTTTCGTATTTCCATACCCTCATGAGTAAAGCAAAACATCTCAAACAAATCATCACACTCAAGTAAGTAAAGGTGGAGACTGTGATGAATAGAGATCAAGCTAGGTTTATATTATGCCCAGACATCAGGCTGAGTACAAGCCCTTGCTGTCAGGGAGGGGGAAATAAGGTCCATGTACCCTGTAGCCAGTTACACAGTGTGTCTCTAATACCTTTACTTTCTTCCCACATGCAGAAGTGAAAGTTAAGAGAAGTCTGAAGAAGGAGTCAGTTCCAAGAAAGGAGTTAAATTATTCAAGAGTAAGTTGTCAACTTCAAGTCAGTGAGCCAAGGCAGAGTAGTTCATAAAGAAACTGTGACTAGACTAGGTGGTACTCAGTTTCTGAGACAGATTTCTGAGCCAGGCCTGTGGGCAGCTGTACGAGGAGATGGGTTGGGGAGGGGTGATTTTAAAAGGATGCTAAATAACACTGGCAAAACCAAATCAACTCCACACACCAGTGAGATGAACTGGAAAACAGTGTTCATTACTCCAGTTTTTCTATCAACTCCTTATGTAGCTGTGGAGCTAAAAACTGGCTCCAGTCTCACTGAGGTAGACACTATCCTTTTTTTATTTTTTTTAATGGAGACAGAGTCTCGTTGTGTCGCCCAGGCTGGAATGCAGTGGTGCAATCTCTGCAACCTCCACCTCCCAGGCTGAAGCAATTCTCATGCCTCAGCCTCCTGAGTAGCTGGGACTACAGACACACACCACCATGCCTGGCTAATTTTTGTATTTTTTAGTAGAGATGGAGTTTCAGCATGTTGGCCAGGCTGGTCTCAAACTCCTGACCTCAAGTGATCCACTGGCCTCAGCCTCCCAAATTGTTGGCATTACAGGCATGAGCCACCACGCCCAGCAGCACTATTCTTTTAAATAAAATTTGTACGATGCTATTGATTTGGACTGGGCCTCTACAGATCAAACCAAAATGGAGTCACTCATGCTAAAGTTTCATGTCACCAAACAGAAACTAAGTCATCTACCTTTCAAGAAACTAAGGGGGAGAGAGAGAAAGAGGGAAAGACAGCATAGCCAAATCCCCTAACAGGCCAGTTTTAGCTGGCATGATAAAGGAGTACCCCCTGCTTTAATCCGATAAGGAAAGTAACTTTGAAATGACCGATTCACTTTTTGTTCCTTATTTCTGCTTTTTTTTAACCCCTTTTCTGCCTATAAAGCCCACCTCTTCTGCTTAGCTCATCAGATCACCTTTTCTAAATTTTTTATTTTATTGATTGATTGATTTTGGGTAGAGATGGGGGTCTCTCTCTGTTACACAGGCTGTTCTCAAACTTCTGGGATCAAGTGATCCTCCTGCCTTGGCCTCCCAAAGTGTTGGGATTACAGGCATGAGCCATGGTGCCCAGCCACCTTTTCTAAATTTTTATGGGAGATAGTACCCTGATCCATTCATCACAAATAAAAGCCAATTAGATCACTTAACTACATTTGTTGTAATTTTGTCTTTTGACAGTTCTCAAAAGGAAATGAAAACAACACTTTATTAGCAGCAGCGCATCTAAAATGGATATTTTTGAGATGCACCTGTGCACTCTTGGTCAGTTGAAACTTCTGAGTCAACAGTAGGTGGCCTAGTGCTGTTTCCCGAGAATGAGTGGTTTAACTCACCCTTTCATATACCTCTCAAAATGATTTCTTGTTCTTAAAATTACGAATAAACAAAACTGAAGTGAGAAGATGAGCTTCAGAAAAATGGGAACTGATCATTAAACTTTTTTTAGAACATTTCCTGTTCTTCAGCTAGTAGAAGTGGATTATTTTAAAAATCTGTTTCTACTTAGACTTTTTATTGATTAAAAAATAATACATTTCTCCATATCCTGACCAAATCAATGTTGAATACACATTGGTAGGATATTGCTTGTAGGGGCTGCTTGACTTGGCCCAGGCTTGCTGGGTGGTTGGACGTGAAGGGTAGGATAAAGCCGCAAAGATCTCCCCACCCCCCAGCCCCAGATTGCTTAACTGAAGAGACTTTGGAGACCAGCTGGGTAGCCAGGATTGCAGAAGAACAAACTTGAGGACCAGCCAGTTCTGCATTAGAAATTTTGGAGGCATTGTCCAGAGCCCTGAGAATGAGAGAAGATCTCCAACCATCCACGGCTGTTTGGGCAAAGAAAGCATCGGGGAAAGGGAGGTAGGACTCAATAGCTGAGAATCAGGCAAAAAAAATCGGGAAAGTGGGTAATTATCTTATTCCCCACTATCTCTCCTTTCCACTGGCCACCCTTCCAGGTATCCTGTGATCTGAATTCCAGCTCTGCTCAGTTCAGCCTGGGGAATCAGAAGAAAAATTGTCTCTGTCCACAAATCCCTTTCCCCTACCTCTGCTGCTTCAGTGACAAAAACTGAAAGAAGAAATTGGTGTAACAAAACTTTAAAATTTGTATATTTAGAAAATCTGAAAGAATCAACAAGGAGAACTCCTGGAACTAGTGCAGGATATGGTTAACATCCAAAAGTCAATTGCAACCAAGTGCAGTGGCTCACGCCTATAATCCCAGCAGTTTTAGGAGGCTGAGGTGGTAAACTGCTTTAGCCCAGGAGTTCGAGACCAGCCTGGGCAACATGGTGAAACCATGTCTCTACAAAAAATAGAAAAATTAGCCGGGCACTGTGGCATGTGCCTGTAGTCTCAGCTATTTGGGAGGTTGAGGTGGGAGGATCACTTGAGCTTGGGAGGTCAAGGCTGCAGTGAGCCATGACCATGCCACTGTGCTCCAGCCTGGGTGACAGAGTAAGACCCTGTCTCCAAAAAAAAAAAAAAAAAAAAGTCAATTGCTTTCTCATATACCAGCAATGAACAAATGAAATTTGAAATAAAAACCACAATACCATTTACATCAGCATTCCCCAAAATGAAATTGGTAGAAATCTAATAATATATGAAGAAGTTCTAGATAATGAAGAGTATAAAACTCTGATAAGAAAAATTTAAAAAGATCTAAATGATTGGAAAGATATTCCATGTTCATGGACAGGAAGACTTATCTGGTCAAGATTTCAATTCTTCCCAACTTGATCTATAGATTTAATGCATTCTCAATAAAAAGCCCAGCAATATATTTTGTGAACATGAACAAACTGATTTTAAAGTTTATAGGAAGGGAAAAAGACCCAGAATAGCCAACACAATATTGAAGAAGAAGAACGAAGTCAGAGGACCAACACTATACCATAACAAAGACAGTGTGATAGTGGTGAAAGAATAGACAGATAGATCAATGGAACAGAATAGAGAAGCCAGAAATAATTTACATAAATATAATAAAACTGATCTTTGACAAAGTAACAAGGCAATAAAATAGAGAAAAAGAGAAACTTTTCAACAAAAGGTGCTGGAACAATGGAACATCCAAATGGAAAACAAAAATTGAATCTAGACACAGACTTTACACCCTTCACAAAAATTAATTCAGAATGGATCATAGACCTATATGTAAAATGTGAAACTATTAAAATCTCCTAGATAATAACCCTGGAAAAAAATCTAGATGACCTTGGGTATGGCAATGACTTTTAAAATACAATACTAAAGTCATGATCCATGAAATAAGAAGTTGGTAAGCTAAACTTCATTAAAATTTACAACTTCTGCTCTGCAAGAGAATGAGAAGATAAGCCACAGATGGAAGAA
This sequence comes from Homo sapiens, assembly GCF_000001405.40. Taxonomy (NCBI): domain Eukaryota; kingdom Metazoa; phylum Chordata; class Mammalia; order Primates; family Hominidae; genus Homo; species Homo sapiens. The sequence goes on from NC_000012.12 coordinate 27,223,874, forward strand.
AATATTTGCAAATGACATATGTGATAAAGGACTGTTATCTAAAATATACAAAGAACTCTTAAAACTCAACAATTAAAAATGAACAACCTGATTAAAAAATGGGCAAAAAACCTTAACAGAGACCTCACCAAAGACCATACAGAGATGACAAGTATATGAAAAGATGCTCGATATAATATCATATGCCATTAGAAAAATGCAAACTACTAAATGCAAAGTGGCTGCACCACTTTGCAAGATAGTGTGGCAGTTTTTTTTACAAAATCAAACATACTCTTACCATATGATCCAGCAGTTACCTTCCTTGGTATTTACCTAAATAAGTTGAAAAGTTATGTCCACACAAAAACCTGTCCATGGCTATTTACAGCACCTTTATTCATAAATGCCAAGACTTGGAAACAACAAAGATGTCCTTCAGTAGAGGAATGGATACATAAACTGTGGGACATCCAAACAATAGAATATTTTTCGGTGCTAAAAGAAATGAGCTATTAAGGCATTAAAATATATGGAAGAACCTTAAATCCATGTCACTGAGTGAAAAAGCCAGTTTGAAAGGCTACATACTGTATGGTTCCAACTATATCACATTCTGGAAAAATACAAAAATTATGGAGATAGTAAAACAATCAGTGTTTGCCAGAGGTTAGCAGGGAGGTAGGGATGACTAGGCAGAACACATAATATTTTCAGGGCAGTGAAACTGTTTTGTATAATATTATAATAGTGGACACATGTCATCATACATTTTTCAAAACCCATTGAATGAACAGCACCAAGAGTGAACCTTAGTGTAAACTATGGACTTTTAGTGATAATGATGTGTCAATGTAGGCTCATCGATTATAACAAATATGTCATTCTGGTGCTAGATGTTGACAGTTGGGGAGGCTATGTGTGGGGAGGTAGGGGGTATCTGGGAACTCTCTGTACTTTCCATTCAATTTTGCTGTGAACCTAAAACTGCTCTAAAAAATGAAGCCTATTAAAGATGTATTAGCTAAAAAAAAGGGTATAAGTGATGAGTCAGTGAAAGGCAGATAAAAGCATTGAGTAGCAAAGGCTCATTTTCATCAATACTGCCCCATTAAGAAGAGTTTGCTTTCTTCTCTGACATCTTCCATTCCCCACTCCGTTCCTACTTCCACCCTTTTAAGCATTCAGTCACTTTGTAGTCCCCATGCATTTATTTTGTCAAAGTCTGATCTTACGTTAGTATTTCCATATTTTAGGATGGATACACTTTACAGCCTAGACCATAGACCATCCATGCTGAGACAGTTAGAGAGTGATGGGCTTATTCCTAGGTGGGAACAGTTCTATGTGTCTGGTTCCTACCTGTTTGCTCCCAGACTTTCCTGTCCCCTCTCCTTTTTTTCTGTCCCCAGCTCATGGGTACTCTGGATCTAGAATCCTTGCCTTGGACCCACAGTAGAATTGACATGCTGGGCTAGACTGCCCTGGCCTGGCCATTGCCAGTCTTAAGCCTCCAAGTTTCTTTTGCCCTTGGCAACTCCCAGACATATAAGCCCGGCCTTTTTGGTGGGAATGGGGGTTCAAGAGAGACATCTAGAGCTTCTTTTTTCCTTATCAGTTACACTCCACTTCAGAGGTCTAGACCAACTCCCAGTGTGAGTTGCTTCTGGAAGGTTTCTCATTGAACATGTCATAGGTTACAGGTGGTTATGAGACAAAGATGGCTTTAACACATGTTAAACCATTTAGAAACTTAAAAATTTTTATAGCGTTTGAAATTATTTTTGTATTTTTATAGGTAATAATCATACAAAGAAAATAACATATTTTCTTTTTTTTTTTTTTTTTTTTTTTTGAGACAGAGTTTTGCTCTTGTTGCCCAGGCTGGAGTGCAATGGCATGAGCTGGGCTCACTGCAACCTCTGCCTCCCAGGTTCAAGTGATTCTCCTGCCTCAGCCTCCCAAGTAGCTAGGATTACAGGTGCCTGCCACTACTTCCAGCTAATTTTTTGTATTTTTAGTAGAGATGGGGTTTCACCATATTGGCCACGCTGGTCTCGAACTCCTGACCTCTGGTGATCCACCCGCCTCGGCCTCCCAAAGTGCTGGGATTACAGGCCCGAGCTCTATATTTTCTCCAAGTCTTACATAGTTTCTCCCAAATGCCTTTCAGGTTACAAGTGGAGTAAGAGGAACTGAATTACTTCCTGGATGTCAGTACACTTGAGTTTAATCTCAGTTACTCAATAGATGGTGACTGAGGTTATTCATGACTTAATTCCTTCAGATCTTCCTCGCGTATAGGAAGAAGGGAGAAGGACCAGATTGTCATCTGGTCAAGTCTTCTCCAGCCTTAAAATTTTATGATTTCTGTATGTTAAATGCAAATACAGATGGTGACTGTTTGATCCAGCCCAGTTTCCTCCTATATCATGTTTCTCTCAAAGTGAAACCTAAAATCTTGAAAAAGCTTCCTATAAAAGGCCACACTTCAGATTTCATCAACTCCCAAAGCAGACTGTCTATGGATCAGAAATTCTCATCTTGAAGTGGGGCAAGTCCTCACTTGTACACATGTTCTTTCCACTCAAATGCAGACACTGTTCTTGTGGAAAGAGTAGAGGTCAGCCAGCCAGAGGCCCCATTCCGAGGGGATTGAAAGGTCTCCCAAGGCAACCACTCCCAAAGGCGGGTTGAGTTTCTGTGAGCTGTTTCCTGCCTGAACAAACAGCCCCTCCCAAGCCCTCAAGGCTGAACTGGTTCAGGGACCACCCTTTGGGATTCTAGTCTTTTGCAGTAGCCAGTGAGTCTTGAACAAAAATAAATGTGAAAAACATAGTCCTTGGGGTTTGACCCCATGACAGATCCAGAACCAACATGGCTTTTTTTTTTTCTTTTCAGTCTGGTAATAAATAACTTGAGCCTGTGCCAAACCCGGAACACATTCCCTGGTCTATCCTGGTTCAAACGTGTCAGTGTGAGACAGACAGGAATAGGACAGGCCATGGGGAAACAGGAGCCAAGACTATTCGTTAAAGTCTGGTCCTTGGCCAAACCATGAGGTTGTTTGCCTAGAGTCCTCCTAGTTAGTTCCCTGTGGAACTGTCTTCTCACCTCCCTTTTTGATGCTTTCTACTCTCTTGGCAAACCAGCCCCTTCCTCTATCTCAGCTACCTAACAAGGATGCCCTATGTTCAGATAAGGATCAAGGTTGGAAAGGGTTTGATTAATTCAAACAAGTTTGGAGCAAATGAGAATTTAAGATGTAATTCCTCTCAAGAGAACTCTATTCATGGAGCATTCTAAAATATTGTAAATCCTTCAACAAAATCTATAATAATGGAATTTCATACCTGTAGGAGAGAGAAATTTGGCTGGAACACTCTTCTATTGCCCTCAAATCATACTGTGCTTTGTAATTTAAAGAAATATGAATTTAATGCCAACAACGTGCAGACACCGTTTTTTTTGTTTTGTTTTTTGAGACAAGGTCTCACTCTGTCACCCAGGCTGGACTGTAACCTCCACCTCCCAGGCCCAAGCGATTCTCTTACCTCAGCCTCCTGAGTATCTAGGACTATAGCTGCGTGCCACCATGCCCAGCTAATTTTTAAAGTTTTTGTATAGATAGGGTTTTACCATGTTGCCCAGGCTGGTCTTGAACTCCTGGGCTCAAGCAATCCTCCTGTCTAGGCTTCCCAAATTGCTGGGATTACAAGTATGAGCCACTGCACCCAGCTGACACTGTTTTATCTATACATTACAAAGATTAACTTATTTACTGCTTAAAGCCATATGAGGTAGGTACTTTTATGACCCCCATTTTACAGGAAACTGAGGAACAGAGAAGTAAAGTATCTTTCCCAAGGTCACACAGTTAGTGAGAGGCAAAGCTGGGATTCAAATTCACAGAGTCTGCTTCCAGAGGCCATGCTCCTAACTACTGTGCTATTCCGCTAGCTCTGTTTAATGCTTCTTCACTCCCATCCTCCTACATTCATGTATAGACACTTCAGGGTGGATCTTTTAGAAGTAGATCATTTTGGCCGGGCGCAGTGGCTCACGCCTGTAATCCCAGCACTTTGGGAGGCCAAGGCGGGTCGATCACCTGAGGTCGGGAGTTTGAGACCAGCCTGACCAACGTGGAGAAACCCCGTCTCTACTGAAAATACAAAATTAGCCAGGTGTGGTTGCACATGCCTGTAATCCCAGCTACCTGGGAGGCTGAGGCAGGAGAATCACTTGAACCCGGGAGGCAGAGGTTGTGGTGAGCCACGATCATGCCATTGCACTGCAGCTTGGGCAACAAGAGTGAAACTCTGTCCCAAAAAAAAAAAAAAAAAAAGAAGTAGATCATTTTATTTCACTTGGACCTATTGCTGGATCATAAAAGAAAATCTTGACTTCATGTAGACAAATAGATTTGGTGGGTCTAGATTTATTTATTGATTGATTGATATACACAAAATTAAATTATTTTGAGACAGAGTCTAGCTCTGTTGCCCAGGCTGGAGTGCAGTGGTGCAATCTCAGTTCACTGCAACCTCCATCTCCCAGGTTCAAATGATTCTCGTGCCTCAGCCTCCCGAGTAGCTGGGATTACAGGTGTGTGCCACCATGCCTGGCTAATGTTTTTGTATTTTTAATAGAGGCAGAGTTTCACCATGTTGGCCAGGCTGGTCTCGAACTCCCAGCCTCAAGTTATCCACCCACCTCGGCCTCCCTAAATGTTGAGATTACAGGTGTGAGCCATTGTTCCTGGCCTAAAATGTTTTTAAAGTCAAACTAATATATGTGCTATTAAAAAACATTAAAGACTCAAGGGCTTATAACAACAAGTAATAATCCTCTGCCCCTCACTTTTCTTCTCTGGCCCTCTCTCCAGAGGCCAGAACTTGTAATTCCAATGGTTACCTCCACTTCTGTAAATAATATGCTTATACTTACGTTTTTGATTGATTGATCAACTTCAGACATTATCTACTGACTTCCTGCTATGATCATTGAGAATTTAGTTCCCTTCCAAAACTATACTCACCTTTCTCCTCTCCTGCCAATATATTTAACTAAACATTTTTAGTTCTTCGGTTGCTTACTTTTGAAATTTTAAATAATTAAACCTCTATTTCTTGTCCATTAACCTATAGATAAGATCTCCTAACTCCCTATTTCATTAATGCCTCATCCTTCTTCTTACCTTTTATGCAAACATAATGAAATCTATTTTGGTTTTATTATAGATTGATCCTAAAAGTTAAAAGTCAGTGAAAATTACTTATATTATTGTTTTCAATGGAGAGCCATGTAATGTGCTAAGATTATATTGATTTTCTTGTACAACCTTTTTTCCCTCGAGTTTCAAATGACTTTCCATTTTTTCCTTTTAATTGTTTGCCCTGATCCTTAAGACTTTCCATCATTTCAATCATACTTCTAGCTCATTAAGGCCCCCTTTTCCCATACTCTTCCATTATTCTGCTCACTTTATTCTCTTGCTCAAGACCCTCCAATGATGTCTTGTCCCAGCCAACACAGTAGAGAAGGGCCCTGCTTATTCCTCAGAGATCATCTCCTACCACACTTATTTCACTCCCAACATTCCTGCAACGGTTACTTTCTTCTCACTCTTCAAACACACAAAGCTCATTTCTATAGCTGGACCTTGCATTTGCTGTTTCCTCTTCCTGGAATACATTTCTCCCAGAGTTTCCTATCACCCAGTTAGTTCCTCATTTCACTCAGGCCTCAGCCCAAGTGTCATCCCTCAGAGAGACTGTCCTTGTCCATTCCACCTGCACCAGTACACTTCTTTCCCTGCTTTATTTTCCATCATGGCATTTATCAGTACCTACAATTAGCTCACACATGTATTTCTTTACATCTTTTCTATGTCCCTCATTGGAATGCAAGCATAATGGTGTCTCTCTTCTCTCTTACTCACTGTTGTAGCTCCAGCACCCAGAAGACTGCCTAGCATGTAGCAAGTGCACAATAAATACTTGCTGAATAAATGAAGGAATGTCTCTCTTAAACTTGCTAAATAGATGCTATCCTGGCACTTCCCTTCATTGCTTTCCTCGATAGGACCCATGGACTTCCATTTCTCCATTTTGCTAGAGAATATATTCAAATGACTTTCTAAGGAAGGATGCATTGGGAGTAAAATTTCCAAATCCTCACATATTTGACAACATCTGTATTCTGCCTCAACCTAATTGATAGTTTGCCTAGCCATAGGCTTCTGGGTTGAGACTCATTTCTCTTTGAATTTTGGCAGCTACTCTGACGTTCTTTCCTTTGATAGTGATATGTGTGTGTGTGTGTGTGTGTGTGTGTGTGTGTGTGTGTGTGTGCGTTTTAACTTGCTTTCCAGAAGCTTTTAGGGTTTATTATGCATTCTCAGTAATATACCTAGGATTTTTCTTTCTTTCCTCCCTTCCTTTCTTTCCTTCTCTCTCTCCCTTTCTTCCTTCACTCCTGCTCTGCAATCAAAGGGCTTTTTCAACTTGAAGACAGTTTGTTTTTTCATTTAGCTTTTCTATTATTTTGCTATTCTTTCTTTCTGAAATGCTCTTTAGCCACTTTGGACTTTCTGAAACTCCTTCCCTTTTCCCTCCCCTCCCCTCCCCTTCCCTTCTTCTTTCTCTTAAACTGAATGCAAGTCCATCCCTCCCTCCCTCCCTTCCTTCTTTCTCTCATGCAAGTTTACTAGGAAAGTAAAGGAATAAAAGAATGGCTACTCCATAGAGTAGCCCCAAGGGCTGCTGGTTACCCATTTTTATGGTTATTTCTTGATGATATGCTAAACAGAGGTGGATTATTCATGCCTCCCCTTTTTAGACCATATAGGGTAACTTTCTAATGTTTCCATGGCACTTGTAAACTGTCATGGCACTGGTGGGAGTGTAACAGTGAGGATGACAAGAGGTGGCCATATTGGTTTTGGTGGGTTTTAGCCAGCTTCTTTACTGCAACTTGTTTTATCAGCAAGGTCTTTATGACCTGTATCTTGTGCCAATCTCCTATCTCATCCAGTGATTTAGAACGCCTTAACCATCTGGGAATGCAGCCCAGTAGGTCTCAGCCTCATTTTACCCAGCCTCTATTCAAGATGGAGTTGCTCTGATTTAAACACCTCTGACATTTCCCCTCTCCCCACCTTTTTTTTTTTTTTTTTTTGAGACGGAGTTTCACTCTGTGGCCCAGGCTGGAGGCCAGTGGTGTGATCTCAGCTCACTGCAACCTCTGCTCCTGGGTTCAAGCAATTCTCCTGCCTCAGCGTCCCAAGTAGCTGGCATTACAGGCACCTGCCACCATACCTGGCTGATTTTTGTATTTTTAGTAGAGACGTGGTTTTGCCATGTTGGCCAGGCTGGTCTCAAACTCCTGACCTCAGGTGATCCACCCACCTCAGCCTCCCAAAGTGCTGGCATTACAGGCGTTGAGCCACCCTGCCCAGCTACTCCCTCCCTTTTCTAAGAGAACCCTTAATCCTAAGGGTTGCAGAGGAATGAAGATTCATCTTCTGTAACTTCTTCAGGCTGAATAGGGGCGATGATATTCCTGCGTAACTATTAGGGTCTCTCATATTCAAGGTAGAGAGGAACTCAGTCAGAAAACATCAGTATGGTGAGGGTCATTCGTGACTCTTGAGTTCTGACAAAAGGTAATATCTGGAAGATTAATAAGTATTCAGTTTAAGAAAATGTTGAGTAAGCTTATTCAGCTTTCCCACACAGAGTACAACAGCAATATATTCCACAAAGTAAACCAAAATAAGCAAAATTATCCCAAGTAAACTAAATTAGAAGGCTTTCCATGAACTGCGCAACTGTTGGAACCAAGCTGATATGGGGTTGCTAGCTGATTCCAGTGTGCCCAGAATTAGAATATTGATTCAGATTTTTACATTACCCACCCTTCTTGTGTCTTCCGAGCAGCAGTCAGAGATCACTGGTTGGTTCACAGGAATAAGCAGAGTTAGCCTAAATTGCAGAAACAAAATTAAAAATAACTGATGAGACTAGAATTTAATAACAAGTGTACCATAGTTCTTGAAATATAATATTTCTCTCTCCAGTTTCCCATTTTTACTAAAGACAAATCATGGTAAGACTGATTTGCTTTATTTTACTTGGCCTGATTATTTGTACAAAGTGCAGCAAGAATAATTATTTTTCACATAAGCTCTTTTTAAATTGGCTTTGATGGAACTCTGTTTCATAGAAGGAATCTTAGATAAGACATTTTTAGAGCCGAGCCCTGCCATGGGTTTGTACCCTCAAATACCTATGAGTTGAGTAAATTCCTCTCCTCTTAAGGTGAATGATCCCTTATTTCTTTACTTTCTCACCTATTTTTCACTTTTGCAAGATTTCCTTATATTACTTTCCAAGATTTTACATATTTTTTTGTCAGTTGTATTTTTAAATTCCAAGAATAAGATTTGTTTTCTGATTTTTTCTTTTCCAAAGCATATATTCCTATTTTAGGAATACAATGTACATTAATCTGCTAGGGCTTCCATAACAAAGTACCACAGACTGGGTGGACACAACAGAAACTTATTTTCTCACAATTCCAGAGACTAGAAATCTGAGATCAAGGTGTCAGAAGGGTTGGTGTCTTCCAAGGCCTCTCTCCTTAGTTCGTAGATAGCCGTCTTCACCCTGTGTCTTTATATCATCTTTTCTCTGTACATGGCTATGTTCTAATCTCTTCTTACAAAGACAGCAGTAAAATTGGATAAGGGCCCATTTTTACTTAATTATCTCTTGTTTTCCCTGCCAAATTAAAACAAATTGTGGGTACATAGTAGGTGTATATATTGGTGGGTTACGTGAGATGTTTTGATACAGGCGTGCAATATGTAATAATTACATCAGATAAATGGATATCCATCACCTCAAGCATTTATCCTTTGTGTTTCAAACAATTCAATTATATTCTCTTGTTATTTTTAAATGTACAATTAAATTATTATTGACTATAATCACCCTGTTTTGCTATCAAATACTGGTTCTTATTCATTCTTTCTATTTTTTGTACCCATTAATAATCACAATTTTCCCCTCACCATCCCCCTGCCCCAACTACCTTTCTTAGCCTCTGGTAACCCTCTACTCTCTATCTCCATGAGTTCAATTGTTTTAATTTTTTAGCTTCCCCAGATAGGTGAAAATATGTGCTGTTTGTCTTTCTGTGCCTGGATTATTTTACTTAATGTAACGATCTCCAGTTCTATCCATGTTGTTGCAAATGACAGGGTCTCATTCTTTTTTATGGCTGAATAGTACTCCATTGTGTATATGTATCACATTTTCTTTGTCCATTCATCTGTTGATGGACACTTAGGCTGCTTCCAAATCTTGGCTATTGTGAACAGTGCTGCAACAATCATGGGAGTGCAGATATCTCTTCGATATAATGATTTCCTTTCTTTTGGGCATATACCTATAATTACCTCTTTAAAGACCCTTTCTTCAAATACCGTCACATTCTGAAGTACTGAGAGTTGGGACTTCAGCTTATGAATTTGGCGGGGGGTGGGGGCGGGGGGACATGATTCCACCCATAGCACAGTGTCATCTCAATGTCTCTGAGTGTTTTATATATATCTTAAAAAAGTTCTAACCTATTCCATGCATTAGTTGTTTTCCCCAGGATCACCTTATTTATTTATTTATCTTGAATTCTCTCTTTAATGTTGTAGACTTTCATCAAAAAGCCCATTATCTATTCATATTTAAGAATGGGACAAGAGAAAGTTTAACTGTGAATATGGATGGGATTTCCAGACTTTACTAGCAGACCTTACTTCTGGAGCCAGCCAATATACTGGTTGGCCCCCAAATTCCTAAATGAAAGTGGAAACACTGTGGAAGTCTAACACATATGCTTGCTGCTCTTGTTCTCTTTCTATTAAAAAAAAAATCCTCCACTTTGTGACCAAGAAGTAAGGTTGCCAGATTTAGGGGGGAAAATGGTCAACCAGTTCAACTTGAATTTCAGACAAAAAAGAAACCATTTTATATTAATAGTAGTGTATGTTCCATGCAATACTTAGGGACACCCTTAACACTAAAAAACAGTTCATTGTGCCTATGAAATTCAAACTGAATTGAACATCTTGTATTTCATCTGACCACCTTACCACCACAAGGGGGACATGGATTGCGGGTAAGGGCCGGCTACCCGACATTCTACCAAACATGGAAGAGGCGAGTAGGAAAAGAGTGATGGTTCCACTTACAGACCTTCAAATAATCATGGATTTTCATTTCACTTCCTACCCCATGAAAATAGAACTCTAAAGAGTTCTGGCCAGCTGGTCTACTCCCTCTCAGGCCACAATCCCTCTGCATATGTGATATAATAAATAAATAAATATATATATATATATATATATATATATATATATATATATATATATATACACATATACATACACACACACACACACACACATATATACACACATATATATATTTGGTATTTGTCCCCAGAGTCTATTATTCCTCACAACGTCTCTGAGAATTCTGTTGATGTGTTTTTTGACATTTTATGTTTTTCCTAATGAACCTTTCCATGTTGAAGTTCCAAGCCCTAAAATTTAATAACTTTTATTTCTTAGTGTTATGAATTTTAAGACTGGGCTCACAAGAAGCTAGGAACAACATATAATTTTATTTGTACCACTATTTACATATTCATTTCTTCAAAAAAAAAAACAAGTTAAAAAATAGGTGGAAAATGAAAAAGCCCATGTAAATTTCACAAGTTTCACTCTTGTAGAACAGAGTATGATTTTAAGTTTACAAGTCCAGCTGACCAGTCTATAACTTTAGTTGTTTTAGAGACAGGGTCTCACTCTGTCATCCAGGCTGGAGCACAGTGGCACGAACATAGCTCTCTATAACCTTGAACTCCTGGGCTCAAGTGATCCTCTGCATTAGCCTCCTGAGTAGCTGGGACTATAGGTGCACGGTACCATGCCCGGCTAATTTTTAAGAAAATTTATGTAGAGAGAGACAGGGTCTCACTATGTTGCCTGGGCTGGTCTTAACTCCTGACCTCAAACAATCCTCCTGCCTCAGCCTCCAAAAGTGCTGGGATTACAGATGTGAGCCACCATGCCTGGCTCTTAAGGTATATAGTTAATATTTATTAATTTAACTTAAAATAAAAGCAGAAGGTATATTTAGGGTAACCAACTATTCTGGTTTGCCTGGAATTGAGGGAATTTCCAGGACACAGGATTTTCTGTGCTAAAACTAACAAAGTCACAGGCAAACTGGGAGGATTTGTTCACCCTATATATACTAGAAATATATAAATAAGTAAATAGGTTAGGCCTAATCCTAATGCTCAAATTTTTTTCTAATTTATTTTATATCCCATATAAGACATATACATTATTTGCATACATCTATCAACCATCCTTTTAATTGTTCTTTAATTGAATCAGTCTTTAAAATGAGAATATTCAATGTGTTCACAGGTGTGTTGAATTGCTTAATTAGTGCTTATAAATAGCTTTGGGATCCTTTGATGAAAACATTAAGTGATTGTAAAGATTTATAACAATATTACTTCACACTGAAGGACACAGCAGGATTCAAAGCACCTTACTGATTGAACATAGATTATTTAGATACTGTAATCCCCATGGAAATTCACTAACGGTATTTCCATCATAAGGAACTAGTTCACAACAAATTGTTCTTTTAAAAAAAAATCAAAGGGAGAATGTAAGTGAAACTGAGCCTTTGGACCTAAAGAACAAAATGCATAGGCAGGAAGGAGGTAGTTGCACAAGTCTGAAAAAAGTGGAGCCACCTGGATCTTGTAAAAAGCTATATGAAAGGGCCCTTTTAGAAAACAACATCTATTCTCCTTGTAGACATTCCAGGTAAACACATTTTTCTGTGAGGCACAATTAGTCCTAGTTACTGAAAATGTCACGTTCTCTCCATTGACAGATACTGAAGTTTTTTCATGGGGCAAAACTGGGAATATTTGAGATAAAATTAAATAATACTGCTTAAGCAGAACATCTTACCTTTTTATACTTAAATGCTGCTGTATTTCTTAAGAGCAAGGAGATTCTCTTACACCACAGAACAATGATCAAAACCAGAAAATTTATGTTAACATTATGTAACTTACAGATCTTAATCATATTTTACCAGTTGTCTCAATAATGTCTTTTCTATCAAATAATAGTAAAAAAAAAATCTAGTCAAGGGTCTAATTGGGAATTACACGTTGCATGTAGTTGTACTATGGCTTTAGTCTTTTAAAATTGGGAACAGTTTTTTGGTTGATCTTTGCTTTTCATGACATTTGCATTTTGAACAGTATAGGCCAATTAATTTGTCAAATATCCACTTTGTTTCTTCATGATTAGATTGAGGGTAAACAGGGTAATATAGAAGTGATGTGACCTTACTACGGCACATCAGGAGGCAGAATGGGGCATTCTTAAGGAGTAGTTTCATTTTTATTTTTTGTTTTTTGAGGCAGGGTCCCCTGTCACCTAGGCTGAAGTGCAGTGGTACCATCCCAGCTCACTGCAGCCTGGACCTCCTGGGCTCAAGCAGTCCTTCCACCTCAGCCTCCCAAGTAGTTGGGACTACAGATGCATGCCACCACTATAATTTTTACTTTTTTTTGTAGAGCTGTGGTCTCCCTTTGTTGCCCAGGCTGGTCTTGAACTCCTGGGCTCAAGTGATCCTCCCACTTCAGCCTCTCAAAGTGTTGAGATTACAAGCATGAGTCACCACACCCAGCCTAGAGCAGACTTTATGACTGTCTTATTGGCATCTGCAATATAACAAGCTGAAGATAGAGGAAGAAGCTTTCAGTGGGCTGGTAGCAGATGCTGTGGTGCACCACCCAAATCCACCTTCTAGGATTGCGGCTCTCATTACTACAGCAGCCGGAACTGCTGGCTTCTAAGAGTCCCCAGCCGAGTCCTTCTCCAGTTACTGCCCTCTGCCAGGTGGGCTTTCTCTCCCACATCCAATGGCTGATTGAGGTTGGGGTACAAAGGCCTGGTCCTGTGCCTCAACAGGGACAACTCTGAAGAGCCATCCCAACTCCAGAGCCCCTTGTGGGAGAGGCTGAAGCCTCTGTTGCAACTGCATTACATTTCAACTTCTTTGCCTGATCTTGCTGTCTTCTCTCTCTCACCTGAGTTGATCCAGAGAGCACTTTCCAATACATCTCCAGCACATTAATCTGAGTATTTCAGATTTCCCAGGAAAGCTGACCTAAGACTGGACCATTTTACATATGTGAGTGGGGCTTTTGATAAGCATTTCAAGTTGTAAAACAGGTCTATTTATAAACATTTTTAATATATTGAAATTTCCCAGGAAGTATACATATTAATCTTGTTATAAGAATTTTACTCCATCATAATTCTACCCTAGGAACTGTTGTAGTCTGAGAGTAACAACACAAAGATGTTAACAAGAGATTGTGTCTGG